>NC_000001.11:51523531-51675047 GCF_000001405.40 Homo sapiens
TATACACAATTATACACGGGTCTTCTGATTCAAATGCGCTTTTTCCTGGGGTGTGTTGCTGGTGTCCTGCAGACATTAATCACCACCCAGGAAGACTTGTTAAAATTTTGCCCTTGAACATGGGAAGCTGAAGATGAGGCTCTGGATTTACGATAGCCCTAAATCCAGGATGAGCCTAAAGAGAAGACCTTAAATCATAAACAGCTTTGTCACCAATCATCTTTCTATCCTACTCTAACTCCAACCCCCCTCCCCAACCCATCCTTAAAGGAAATCAAAACTACTTTTATTTTCTTATTTTCTAGCTTTTAGAGGCAGTTGTCATATCAACGCTTCATGAACACTGCGTGTCTGTGAAGTCAGCATCTAGAAAGTTGAGAAATGTGAAGTGATTGAAACTATGGAAAAAAAAACTGAGGAACTCTCTGAATACACAAAGGGCCAGTTTATTTGCATGAGACTTTGAGAGATGGGCTTTCCATATAGATGGTGCTAAACTGTATTTTAAAATCTTACTACAATTCTCATGGTAATCTGAAGCTCGTGCTTCTAAGCTGCTGGTTTCATAAATATAGTCCATCATTGTTCGCGTTTGCCCAGGGCAGAAAGAATATGTGAGGCAGCACAATAACAACAATTGTGCTATGCAAATAACCATCCCTGTGCCAGGGATTGAGCTATGAAAAGAACAAGCAGTAAGAGATTTGTAAATGCCATACACACGCAGGGTGTGATAGAACAGTTCAAAATTGTCATCATCACTAACTTTTCAGGGCAGTGGGATACCCTGGGAAGAAGCTGAGTTTAGGACTGGGAAGGCCCAGGTTGGTCCAGTTTTGGTCCTGCAGGTTCTTTGGTGACTTTGCAGAAGTGAGGAACTATACCAAGCCACGGTTTCCTCTCCTGTAAACTAAAAGTAATAATAATACCTACCTGCTCATGCTATTACAATGATTAAATGAAGGTTTATGTGAAAACCTGGGACACAGCAGAAACTAGATAAGCATTAGCTCCTTTTTCTTCCTACTGGAGAACATGTAGGCTTTAAGTAACCAGAACACAAAAATAGAAAATATTTTTAAAGGTTTTCAGTGGCCTTCCAAAGCCCACTTAATGGTTTTTTACATAAAATTTATTTAATCCATTAGTAATATTTATTGAGTACTATACAGTAAGAGAGATTATTATATTTATGTCCCCAAAGGCCATTGGCTTCTAGTGAGAAAGCAAACACTGTTTTGCCCTTGCCCTATTTCCTTCCTTTCCTCTCTGTCCTTTATGAAGAGTGCTGGAAGCCATAAGAAACCAAAAGGAACACCATAGGAAAGAAACCTTGCACTCATGGCTGCAGGTTCTTTCATCTGCAGGTTTCAAAGCATTTTCTCCATAGGTAATTACTAGCCCTACTTACCATGTGTGAATGCTGAGACATCATCAAATTAAGAAGCTTGCCCTAAATCACAAGGCAAGTCAGAGGATGGGCTGCAGACAGAACAAAGCTGTCCTGTTTGCCAGACTTGGGCTCTAAAGTAGGGCACATGAGTGTCAACAGAAGACTTCAAGTGATGAGGAAAAAAGTTTGAGGAATCCTGATTCTGAATCAGCGCAATAACAAGAGCATGGGCTTCAGAGTCAAATTTGATTTCAAATCCCAGCTCAGCCCCATTTGACTGGCTGCCTGACCTTCATCAAATCATAAACTAAGTCTAGTTTCCCTTTTTGTAAAATGAGGATATTCTTACTTCTAAGGGTTTTGGGGAAAGTTAAATTATGTAACTAGTGTGAGAGAGCCTGGTTCAGTATCTGTCACTTAGCAGGTGCTGATAATGTTGGTTTATGTCATTGGGAAAAGTTAATATATCTCCCCCACAAACACAAAATAACAAATAGACAACTCTTTCAGTCAAAGATTTTCAAAGCCATAATCACAGTTGTGTCTCAGTTTAAACCCATGACATCTCACATTATAGCACAAATAGAGGATGCCTTGTTCAGGCCTTCATCACTTTTCTTCCTTGATTCTGTGCTTTCTCTCATAGCCCAAGTCCAATCTACCAGAAAGTTCTGTCGGCTCGATCTCCAATATATATCCAAGATCCTAATTTCCAGGTCTGACCACTTTTCACCACCTCCACTACCATGGCCTTTCTCTTGGACCACTGCTAAAGTTTCTTAACCAACATCCCTACTTCCATGATTTTGCCTAAGTTCATTCTCCATATCATAAACTGAATGATCTATTTTTATTTATTTACATCACCCAGCTGCAGTGCAGTGGCACGATCATGGCTCACTGTAGCTTTGAACTCCTGGGCTTAAGCGATCCTCTTGCCTCAGCCTGAATGATTTTTTTTGTTCTTTTTGAGACAGCATCTCACTCTGTCACCTAGACCGGAGTGCAGTGGTCCAATTTCAGCTCACAGCAGCCTCCATCTCCCAGGCTCAGTTGATCCTCCTACCTCAGCCTCCAGAGAAACTGGGACTACAGGTTCACACCACCACACCCAGCTAATTTTTGTATTTTTTGTAGAGACAGGGTTTTGCCACATTGCCCAGGTTGGTCTTAAACTCTTGGGCTTAAGCAATCCACCTGCCTTGGCCTCCCAAAACGCTGGGATTACAGGGGTGAACAACTGCACTCTGCCTGAATGTTCTTTTTAAAACATAAACCAGATCTTATTATTTTCCTGGTTAAAACCCTACAGGGACTTCTCATCAAGCACCTGAATATGGCCTACCGTGGGTAAAGTATGTGTCAGCAAAGCCCAGAAGAGCGAGATGTCTGGTTAAATGGAGCATGGTAGAGATGAGAGAGAAAGAAACTAGCAGAGAAGGGTGGAAGGGGTGTTAGAAAATACCCAGAAGGACTCATGGCTGGACTACAAGAGGCTGAGAGAAATGTTTCTCTCTGGAGATTCTCTTTTTTGTAAAATGAGGATATTCTTACTTCTGAGGATTTCGGGGAAAGTTAAATGATGCAACTGGTGTGAGAGAACCTAGTTCAGTATCTGTCACTTAGCAGGTGGTGGTAATGTTTGTTTATGTCATTGGGGAAAGTAGCTCAAAAGAGTCCCAAAAATAGCTCAAGAGATTCACAATCAACACTGGAAGCAAAGGAGATTCTTACTGTTTTCCATTGATGGCATTTTTAAATCTAGTGGCCTGGAATTTTTAAGCACCCAATCAGGAATCTATTTTACCCTTTTTTTTTTAACTTTTATTTTTATTTTTTGAGATGGAGTCTCGCTCTGTCACCAGGCTGGAGTGCAGTGGCGCAATCTCGGCTCACTGCAACCTCTGCCTCCCAGGTTCAAGCGATTCTCATGCCTCAGCCTCCTGAGTAGCTGGGATTAGAGGCAAGCGCCACCACACCTGGCTAATTTTTTGTATTTTTAGTAGAGACGGGGTTTCACCAAGTTGGCTAGGATACTCTTGATCTCCTGACCTCGTGATCTGCCCACCTAGGCCTCCTAAAGTGCTGGGATTACAGGCATGAGCCATCGCGCCTGGCCTATTTACCCTTTTAAAAGTAAGAATTATACGCTAGGACCCCTAACATCAGGACAATGGTTAAGATGATGGACTTTGGAATCAAATTTGACATTGAATCAAGGTCCTCCACTTATAAGCTACAACACCATGGTCAAGTTATTAAAACTCTTTGACCCTCAGTTTCATGCAGACTACCATACAGAATGAGTAAAAGAATTAAATAGACAATGATTATAAAGCACTTTGCATAGTATCTGAGACATGGGGAGTAAGTGCTCAGCAAATGGGGACTATCCAATGATGATGGTGATGATGATGATGATGATGATGATGATGATGATGATGATGGTGATTAAGAATTGGGTTATCTTTTTTAAAAAATTTTTTTAGATACAGGGACTCACCCTGTTGCCCAGGATGGAGTGCAGTGGTGCAGTCATAGCTCACTGTAGACTCAAACTACTGGGCTCAGGCAGTTACCCACCTCAGCCTCCTGAGTAGCTGGGACTACAGACACATGTCCCCATACCTAGATAATGTTTTTATTTTTTATAGAGACTGGGTCTCACTATGTTGCCCAGGCTGGTCTTGAACTCCTGGACTCAAGCAATCCTCCTGTCTCAGCCTCCCAAAGTGCTGGGATTACAGATGTGAGTCACTGTGGCTGGGTGCCTGCCTGGGGTGAGATTTAAATTGGCCTTGTAAGCTAATAAAAAATGAAGTCTATTCTGAGGGCAATGTGGAGTCATTGAAAGGTTCCCAGGAAGGAAAATAAAAATCCAAAATCATGTTATAGAAAGGTAACTCAGCCGGGCACCGTGGCTCATGCCTGTAGTCCCAGCACTTTGGGAGACCGAGGCAAGCAGAGCACTTGAGGTCAGGAGTTCGAGACCAGCCTGGCCAACATGGCAAAACCCCATCTCTACTAAAAATACAAAAAAAAAAAAAAAATTAGCCAGGGGCTGTGGCACACACCTGTAGGCCCAGCTACTTGGGAGGCTGAGGCACGAGAATCTCTTGAACCTAGGAGGCAGAGGCTGCAGTAAGCCAAGATCACACCACTGAACTCTAGCCTGGGGGTGACAGAGCAAGACTCTGTCCCAAAAAAAACCAAGAAAGGTAACTCTATTCAGCATTATACTGGAGTTTCCAGCCAGAGGAATTAGGCAAGAAAAAAATAAAAAACATCCATATTGAAACAGAAGTAAAACTATATTTGCAGATGAGATGATCTTGTATATATAGAAAATCCTAAAGAAACAAACAAAAATCTATTGGAATAAATGAGTTCAGCAAAGTTGCAAGATACAACATTAATATACAAAAATCAATTGTATTTCTATACACTAGCAATGAATAATCTGAAAATGATAGCCAGGTATGGTGGCTCATGCCTGTAAGTCCCAGCGACCTGGGAGGCTGAGGCAGGAGAATTGCTTGAGCCCAGGAGGCGGAGGTTGCAGTGAGCCAAGATCCTGCCACTGCACTTCAGCCTGGGTGACAGAGTGAGACTCTGTCTCGGGGAAAAAAAAAACAAACTGAAAATGAAATTAAAAAATCAATTCCAGCCCAGCACAGTGGCTCACCTCTGTAACCCCAGCACTTTGGGAGGTCAAGTTGGGTTGATCGCTTGAGGTCAGGAGTTTGAGACCAGCCTGGGCAACATGGTGAAACCCTGTCTCTGCAAAAAAATGCAAAAATTCGCCAGGCATGGTGGAGTACACCCATAGTCCCAGCTCCTCAGGGGGCTAACGTGGGGAAATCACTTCAGCCCTCCAGGGCAGAGGTTACAGTGACCCCAGATTCCGCCACTGCACTCCAGCCTGGGAGACAGAACGAGACTGTCTCAAAAATAAAGAATAAAAAATATCAATTCCGTTTACAATAACATCAAAAAGAAAAAATAGTTAAGAATAAATTTAATAGAAGTACAAGATTTGCAAATAAAAACTACAAAATATCATTGAAAGAAAGTAAAGAAGACCTAAACAAATGGAAAGACTTCTTATGTTCATGAATTGGAAGACTTAAGATTGTTAATATGGTAATACTCCCCAAATTGATCTACTGATTCAGTGCAATCCTTATTAGAATACCAGTTAGCTTCTTTGTATAAATTGACAAGCTGATTCTAAAATTCATATGGAATTTCCAGTAACTCAGAATAGCCAAATAATCTTAACAATGAAGAACAAATTTGGAAGACTCATGCTTCCTGATTTTTTTTTTTTTTGAGACAAGAGTCTTGCTCTGTTGCCCAGGCTGGAGTGCAGTGGCACGATCTCGGTTCACTGCAAGCTCTGCCTCCCAGGTTTGCCATTCTCCTGCCTCAGCCTCCCGAGTAGCTGGGACTACAGATGCCCGCCACCATGCCTGGCTAATTTTTTGTTTTTGTATTTTTAGTAGAGACAGGGTTTCACCGTGTTAGCCAGGATGGTCTTGATCTCCTGACCTCATGATCCACCTGCCTTGGCCTCCCGAAGTGCTGGGATTACAGGCTCCTGATTTTAAACTTACTACAAAGGTATAGTAGTCAAGATAGCATGGTACTAGTATAAAGAGAGACATATAAACCAATGGAATGTAATTGAGAGTTCAAACTAACTCTATACATTAATAGTCAATTGATTTTCAGCAAGGGTATGAAGATAATTCAATGGCGGAAAGAATAGTCTTTTCAACAGATGGTACTGTTGAACTACCATATTCACATGCAACTACATATTCACATGCAAAAGGATGAAGTTGAACCCCTACGTCATACCAGATGCCAAAACTAGCTCAGAATGGATCCTTGACATAAATGTAAAACTGTAAAATTCTTAGAAGAATCTAAGAGTTGCTTAAGTATAAAACTCTGAGAAGAGGCTGGGTGCGGTGGCTCACGCCTGTAAACCCAGCACTTTGGGAGGTGGAGGTGGGTGAATCCCTAGGTCAGGAGATCGAGACCATCCTGGCTAACACGGTGAAACCCGTGTCTACTAAAAATACAGAAAAATTAGCCAGGTGTGGTGGCGGGCGCCTGTAGTCCCAGCTACTTGGGAGGCTGAGGCAGGAGAATGGCATGAACCTGGGAGGCGGAGCTTGCAGTGAGCTGAGATCGTGCCACTGCATTCCAGCCTGGGTGACAGAGTGAGACTCTGTCTCAAAAAAAAAAAAAAAAAAAAAACAAAAAAAAAAAACCTCTAAGAAGAAAACATAGATGCAAACCATCTTTATTAGAGGAGGCAATGATTTCTTAGATATAACACCAAAGCAGAGCAACAAAAGAAAAATTAGATAAACTGGATGTCATCAGAACTTCTGTACTTCGAAGGACACCATCCAGAAAGTGAAAAGACAATCCAAGGAATGGGAGAAAATATTTGCAAATCATATACCTGACAAGTGAATTCTAACTAGAATATATAAAGAACCCTTACAACTCAACAAGAAAAAGACAAATAAACCAGGCATGGTGGCTCACACCTGTAATCCCAGCACTTCGGGAGGCTGAGGCTGGAGAATACCTTGAAGCCAAGGAGTTCAAGACCAGCCTGGACAACATATCAAGACCGTCTCTTAAACAAAAAAAAAATTAGCCAGGCATAGTGAGCCCAAGAGTTTGAGGCTGCAGTGAGCTATGATTGCGTCACTGCACTCCAGCCTGGGTGACAGACTGAGACCCTGTCTGTAAAAAAAATTAAAATTATGGCCTGGCACAGTGGCTCACACCTGTAGTCCCAGTACTTTGGGAGGCCGAGGCAGGCAGATCACTTGAGGTCAGTTTGAGACCAGCCTCTATTAAAGGGTGAAACCCTGCCTCTACTAAAAATATCAAAATGCCTGGAATCCCAGCTACTCGGGAGGCTGAGGCAGGAGAATCGCTTGAACCCGGGAGGCCGAGGCTGCAGTGAGCCGAGATCAGGCCACCGTACTCCAGCCTGGGTGACAGAGCGAGACTTTGTTGTAAAAAAAGAAAAAAATAGGGCCAGGTGCGGTGGCTCATGCCTGTAATCCCAGCACTTTGGGAGGCCGAGACAGGCAGATCACCTGAGGTCAGGAGTTAGAGACCAGCCTGGCCAACATGATGAAAACCTGCCTCTACTATAAATACAAAAGAACTAGCTGAGTGTGGTGGTGCATGTGCCTGTAATCCCAGCTACTCGGGAGGCTGAGGCAGGAGAATCACTGGAACCTGCGAGGCAGAGGTTGCAGTGAGCCAAGATCGTGCCACTGCACTCCAGCCTGGTGACTGAGCAAGACTCTGTCTAAAAATAAATAAATAAATAAAAACATTTAAAGAAAAATATTATTTGGACTATTGTGGGGAAATAAACTGTAGATCAACAAGGGCAGAAACTGGTAAAACAAATATAAGATTATTGCAATAATCCAGATATGATGATGGCTTGGTGGTGAGAGGTGGTAAGAAGTGGTCAGATTCTGTACATATTGAAGGTAGAGCACACCAGATTTGCTAAAGGATTAAGGATGAGGTATGAGAGGAAGAAAAGGATCACGGATGATGCCAGGGATTTTGCCTGAGCAACTGGATTGATGAAATTGTTTTTTACTGAGATGAGTAAGACTATGGAAGAAGCCAATTTAGAGAGAATATCGGGAATTTGGCCTTTGACTAAATTTGATACACTTTTAGATATCCAAGTTGAAATGTCAAGGATGCGGTTGGAATAAGAGTCTGGAGTTCAGGGGAGAGGCCTGGGTTGGTGATATAAATTTGGGTGTCATTAGCATATGGAGGCATTTAAAGCCATGAGGTTGGGTGAGACTGTCCAAGTGTCTATAATAAAACCCAAGAAGTCCAACTACCAAGCCCTGGGCCACTCCAATGTTAGGACTCAGGGAAATGAAGAGGAACTAGTAAAGGAGACCAAAGAAAGAGCAGCTGAGCTTAGAGGAAAACCAGGAGAGTATGATGTCTGTCCTTGAGCCAAATGAGCAATGTGTTTCAGGAAGGAGCAAGGAAGGAAGGAGTGAGAAAGCATGTCAAATCTTATCAAAGAGCTAGTTAGATGAGGATTGCAATTAATATCCAGAGTTAGCAATGTGGAAGTCTTTGGTGACCTTGGTAATCGTTTCAGGGGAAGGTGAAAGAAAAGTATAATTAGAGGAGGCTCGGGAGAGAATGAAAAGAGAGGACTTGGAGTCAAGAAAAACAGATAATTCTCTAGAAATGTCTAGCTGAAATGAAGAGCAGAGAAATGGTGTGAATACCTAGTAAGGGATACAGAGTCAAGAGAGGTTTCTTTTCTTAAGGTGAGCAATAATGCAGCATTTTTTAGAAAGTGAACGGAATGATCTGGTAGAAGAGGAATCACTGATGATACAAGCAAGAGAGGGAATTGCTGGAGTGCAGGGGAAAGAATTGGCTTTGAGAATACCGAAGAGGGCTGAGTATGTGGGCATGGATGCAGGTGGATGGGTTATCTGCTGAGAGGGAGGAAAAAGGAGAGGATATGAAAAGTTTGAAAAAAGTTACGAAATAAGCATTTAGGAAAAGTGGATGGACTTGAAAATGTAGTATGATTCCCAGGTAGCACTAAAAGCCCACTTGAGGTCAGTGGCGATGAATTTTAAGAGTCCAGTTGACACAGTTGTGGGTTTTTCTTCATCCACTTTCCCAAAGGCAGAGAGTAGGTAGAGTTAGATTGTGCAGGGTAGGGATCTTGTGAAGCAAAATGAGAATGCAAGAGGAGGCAAGAGAGAAGAGGACCTATCAAGGGAGTGATTTTAACATTGGACCTTGGAATTTAGGTGGGTAAAAAGGGAAGTGAGGACACAAGATAGTTGAGGAATGGTGAAGAGATATTAGGATCACTGGATTATAAGGCCCAGGAAGGGATCAGAGAAGTGTTGGAGTCAGGGTGTTGGAAGGAGTGAGCTGAGAAACAGGAGATTTAGAAAGATAAGTAAAATTATTGTTAGATTATTATTAATAATTGGTAATTATTAAATGGTAATTGGTAATTAAATGGTAATTGGTAATTAATTGGTAATTGGTAATAATTGGTAATTATTAATTGGTAATTAATAAATGGTAGATATTTATTAATAACTGGAAGCAACCTCTAAAAAAATCATAGTATTAAGACCCAGTTCATGCCCTCTAAGTGCTCACTCTGTGATGGGAAAGACAAGACAGAATGAAATAAATATTAAAGAGAAGTACATGCTGCTGGGTGTAGTGGCTCACGCCTGTAATCCTTGTACTTTGGAAGGCTGAGGTGGGTGGATTGGCTGAGCTCAGGAGTTCGAGACCAGCCTGGGCAACATGGTGAAACCCCATCTCTACTAAAAAAAATACAAAAAATTAGCTGGTCGTGGTGGTGCATGCCTGTAGTCCCAGCTACTCTGGAGGCTGAGGCAGGAGAATCACTTGAATCCAGGAGGCGGAGGTTTCGGTGAGTGGAAATTGCACCACTGCACTCCAGCCTGGGCAACAGAGCAAGACTCTGTCTCAAAAAAAAAAAAAAAAAGAAAGAAAGAGAAAGAAAAGAAAAAAAAAGAGGGAAGTAGATGAAATGGCTGTGGGAGTCAAAAGGAATCTGCGAGTAAACGTAAGGGTCAGATCAAGGAAAGCCTCCAAAGCAGGTGGCATTTGAATCGAGCCTCAAAATGGAGCAAATGCAGCACATGGCCTGAATAAATGTTCACAGTTACACCATTGCAATGAGTGCTCAGAAAACAGAGGTTGGAGTGCAGGGTGGGAGCTATGGCAGGACATGAGACTAGAAAATTATCTGGAACAGGCAAGGGATTTTTGAATGCCAGGCTAATGCCTGGGCATTTTTTTTTCTTTTGTTTTTTCTTTTTTCTTTCTTTTTTTTTTTTTTTTTGCAGAGGAATAGATAATACTGAGGTTAGGGGTTAGAGGTTATTATTCTAAATAATTGATGCTGACTGGGCGCAGTGGCTCACACGTGTAATCCCAGCACTTTGGGAGGCCGAGGCAGGTGGATCATGAGGTCAGGAGTTCGAGACTAGCCTGACCAACATGGTGAAACCCCATCTCTACTAAAAATATAAAAACTAGCGGGGAGTGGTGGCACATGCTGTAGTCCCAGCTACTCAGGAGGCTGAGGCACAAGAATCACTTGAACCCGGGAGGAGGAGTTTGCAGTGAGCTGAGATCGTGCCACTGCACTCCAGCCTGGGCGATAGAGTGAGACTACATCTCAAAAAAAAAAAAATGCTCCCAGCTGTTTATCATGTTATGAAGTCATACTGGTTTTTTTGTTTTGAACAGTCTAGTAATTTTATTCTCCATCATGTCCTTAAGTCATATTAGGGAAGTTTTATGCTTTGGATTTTCTGATTGTCTTTTTAAGATCATCTCCCCTCTATGGCAATGATAATGTTGTTTCTTTCCAAATAATGTTCTGTCACATGCTCATTCACTTTTTTTTCCAAATGGCCTTCAACTTCATCCCCTGATGTTGGTAGGAAAGTCTAAGATCCCTCAGCAGTCTGAAGCTCCTCTCAGAAAGGGGTGAGGAGTGGGTTGGATAGGATCAGAACTATGCTGTCCAGGGCATTCAGACCCGTTGAAGTGGATAAGAATTAAAGGTGAACAGTCAGATCCTCCCAGGGAGAGGAAGCCACAAGAGACACAGCCTCACAACTGTGTTGTCACAGTGTTTTCAGAACTCAGTACCAATACCAGTGATGGGGCCACGCTTTTTGCAAGTGACGTTTATTATGTCATTTGAAAATATCAGAATCTCTCTCTTCACAGGCTAGCCAGATAAGTATTGAAACCATTAATTTCTCTACCATGTCACTGTGTCTTTGGGCAAGCCCCTTCTCTCCTCTGGACCCAGGGTCCTGCCTATAAAACGAAGGGGCTCTATTCATCCTCCTCTAGGATCCCTTTCAATTCTGACAGGCTCTAATTTTTCTGTTATCAGTTATTCTTTATTAAACTTACAGTATGTGCCAGCTTTTTTCAAGATGTGAGACCCTCTCACCCTCTTACTCCTCAACCCCCTGTTATAACTTATCTTGGGCTTTTCTTGTTTAAAACATTTGGAAAAAGTGGTGTGTTCACGGGACCTTTATTTGCCCTAAGACATTTGAGGGTAAATCATGTGAAGGCCTTTGTTTTCTTCCAGCAGCCAAAACAATAAAACCACCAAATTGCGTGCAGCATCATTTTCTACTGCCCTCAAGTGGTGGTGGCCCAAATGTCTTTTCCTGGTTGCAGTTTAAGGAATAAAACATGTTTTCAGAAGAACTCTAGGCATCTAGGAGAGGGTAGGAGAGTCATAGAGTCACAAAGGGCCTGAGGTGGAAAGGCCCTTACAGGATGTCTGATCTAAGCCCCTCGTCTTGAAAGGGAGAGACTGAAGTCCACCTTGGTTCTCTGATCAGTGAACAAACCTAGTTTCTTCTGTCTTTAAAGAGCTATCTTATGACCCTGACTCTATTTTTGGCTCCATTTCTCTGCTCCCATTCACAGTGAAATTTTCTAAAGAGTTATCTCCATACTGTTTCTATTTCTTCATCTATGCTTTATTATTATTATTACTTTTTATTTTTTTTTAAAAACAAAATAATAATCTCACTCTGTCGCCCAGGCTGGAGTGCATTGGGCTGATGTTGGCTCATTTCAGCCTCTGCCTATGGGTTCAAGTGATTCTCCTGCCTCAGCCTCCCAAGTAGCTGGGACTATAGGAGGATGCCACCACACCTGGCTAATTTTTATATTTTTAGTAGAGACAGAGTTTCACCATGTTGGCCAGGCTGGTCTCGAACTCTTGACCTCAAATGTTAACCCCCCACCCCGCCGCCCTTGTCTACCAAAGTGCTGGGATTACAGGCATGAACCACCGTGCCCACCTTTACACTTTATTTTTTAACTTTTTACTTTGAAATAATCTCAAACTTGCAGAAGAGCTGCAGAAATATTACAAAGAATTCCCAGATGCCCCAGAAGTTCTCATGTGTGGGCATATGCCTACATGCATATACATGGATATGTATATTTTTTCCTGAGCCATTTGAATTGCAGTAGTTACCCCTAATACCTTAAATATTTCAATGTGTATTTTCTGAGAAAAGGACATTCTCTTATATACCTACATACCCACTCAGTATGACAATCAAATCCAGAAATTTTAAATTGACATAGTGCTTATATACAGTCCATACTCAAATTTCACTAATTGGCCTGATAATGTCCTATATAGCAGTATTTTCCCCCATCAGGTTCTGATCCAGTGCCTGATCCAGGTAATGCATTATACTTAACTGTCATGACTTTTAAAAAGGTTTTTTTTCTTTTAATTATTATTTTTTAGAAACAGGATCGCGCTCTGTCACCCAGGCTGGAGGGCAGTGGTTCAATTACAGCTCACTTACAACCTTGAATTCCTGGGCTCAAGCGATCCTCCCACCCCTGCTTCCAGACTAGCTAGCTAGTACCGCAGGCACGCACCACTATGCCTGGCTAATTTTTTAAAAAATTATTTTTGTAGAGGTGGGGTCTCGTTATGTTGCCCAGACTGGCCTATAATTCTCAGCCTCAAAGTGATCTTCCTGTCTCTGCTTCCCAAAGTGCTGGAATTTCAGGTGTGAGCCACCACACCTAGCCTGTTATAACTCTTTAGTGTCCTTTAATCTAGAATAGTTCCCCAGTCTTTCACTATTATTCACGATATTCACATTTTTAAAGAGTACTGGCCAGGTGTTCTGTAGTGTCTCCCCCTGTTTGGCTTTGTCTCATGTTTTCTCATGAAGGGATTTACATATTTTTCCAGGAAGAAATCCTAGTTATATGATGTTGTGTCCTTCTCAGTGCATCATATGGGGAGAAACGTGGTGTCACTTGGTCCCATTATTGATGGTGTTCACTTTGATCAGCGGATTAAGGTGGTATCTACCAGATTTCTTCACTGTAGAGTATTTTTTCCTGTGTAAGTAATGGTAATCTGTAGAGAGGGACTTTGAAACTATGTAAATATCCTGTTCCTCTTCAAACTTTTGCCCAATGGTTTCAACACTCATTGATAATTCTTGTCTGAATCAATTACTGTGATAGTTGCAAACTGGTGATTTTCTACTTCTATCATTCCATCTACATTTTTTAGTTGGCATTCTACTGTAAGCAAGAAGGTTTCCTTCTCTCTAATTATTATCATGAGTATAAACTAATGTATTCTTAATTTATTTAATGAGTTATAAACATTACCCTTATTATTTTTTAAATGTTCAACTTGTCCCAGGTTTGGCCAATGAGAGCCTCTTCAAACTAGCTCCTGTGTCCTTTTGACATGTCTTCATCACTTTTTTTTAACACCTCCTTGCTTTCTGGCATAATAAGATGTTCCAGGCTTATCTTGTACTTTCACTGCCTAGTCCTGAAAATCAGCCATTTCTCCAAAGAGCTACTCTTTAGTGGGGAATGGTATTTAGAAACCAAGATTTGGGCATCAGATGTGCTCATTCCTATTGGAGTGTAATTGCTTCTAGGCCATTTTAGTAAACAGAGCCAAAGGGGAAAAATAGTAACCTAATTTTGTTTAATTATTATTATAATTATTTTTAACAGAGACAGGGTCTCACTCTGTTGCCCAGACTGGAGTGCAGTGATGCTATCATAGCTCACTGCAGATATGAACTCCTGAGATCACCTCAGCCCCTGGAATAGGCTAGGACTACACGCCACTACACTCAGCTAATATTTTTAAATTCTTTATAGAGATGGGGTCTCACTATGTTGCCCAGGCTGGTCTCAATCTCCTGGCCTCAAGTGAACCTCCTACTTTGGCCTCCCAAAGTGCTGGGATTACAAGCATGAGCCACTGCACCCAGCTCTGGTCAACCATTTTAAATTAATAATTCATTACTGATACTTTAATTCCAATTTAACACCACAGGGTTCTTTCTCCTATTCCTTATTTGCATCTCCCTTTTCCCACAGTAAGAACTCTGGCTCTCAACAACATCAATGTCTTTATTCATTTGTTTAAAATTATGATATAGGCTGGGCATGGTGGCTCATGCCTGTAATCTCAGCACTTTGGGAGGCCAAGACGGGCAAATCACTTGAGGTCAGGAGTTCGAGGCCAGCCTGGCCAACATGGCGAAACCCCATCTCTACTAAAAAATACAAAATTTAGCCGGGCATGGTAGTGCATGCCTGTAATCCCAGCTACTAGGGAGACTGAGGCAGGAGAATCACTTGAACCTTGGAGGCAGAGGTTGCAGTGAGCCAAGATCACGCCACTGCACTCCAGCCTGGGCAACAGAGCACGACTCCATCTCAAAAATAAATAAATAAATAAATAAACAAGATAGACACAAAATAGAATTGTTACATCCATTCTGCTAACAAAAACAATCTACTAAACAGGGTTCAAGATTTGTTTGCAGTTTTGTTTTGTTTTTAGACAAAAGCTGTATATTCAAGTACTATGTTCAAAAGTATTTAGATTCATTTTTTTTCCTTCAGAGTGATTATATTACTTATTTAAATATAGTTTGGTTCACTTGTTTCTGTTTATATTCAGTTTTAGGATCCCTTCCATTCTTGTTTATTTAATTCCGTTTTTAAATATGTAAAGGTAAACATTGTCACAAAATTAAAATCTATACAAAAGGCATATAGAATGCTTCACAGATGTGTCATCCTTGTGTAGGAGTCAAGCCAATTTTCTCTGTATTGTTCCTTTTTTTTTGTAAATATGCTGTCAAAGCAAGCACACCTCTAATTCATTCTTCAACTTATTTAATTCTTACTTAGACCACCCACTTCACTGACCCTACTACTGCCAAGATCATCAGTGTCCAATATTTTCTTTAGTCTTATTTGACCTTTCCACTCAGCTGACCTCTCCAATTTTCTTGAAACTTTCTCGTCTCTTGGTTTTTGTGATACCACATTCTGCTGATTTACTCTCTCTTCGCAGGTCTGTCCTCACTCTCTTTGTCTATTCCACCACCCTAAAATCCTCTGGACTCTTCTTGGCTCTCTTCACTTCTCTCTGCAGACTCTCTTCCTAGATGATCTCAACTATTTCTTTGTCTTCAAATGCTGATCATGCTAATGACTTCCAAATTTACATCTTTTTCCCAGACCTCTCTTCTGGTCTCCAAAATGTGTAACCAACTGTCTAATAGACATCCACTTGGATGTCTTAAGACATCTCAGGTTTAACATATCTAAAATAGAACTCCTAATTTCCCTGCCAAACCTGCTTCGCCTCGAGTCCTAATCTCTGTAAATGTCACTTCCATCCCCCGGTTACTCTAGCCAGAAACTTAGAAGTTATTCTTGATTCTTCCATTTTCCTCAACCCCCATGTCCAGTCCATCTGCAAAATATGAAAATTTTACCTCCAAAATTATGTGAAATTAGTCCATTTCTCTCTGTGTCTACCACCATCACTTCACTCGTCATCTCTTACCCAGGCTACTCATAAGCCTCATAACTGGCCTCCCCTCACCTATTCTTTACCCTCTTCCTTTTATGCCCCCACATTCATTCTCCATACACCAGCTACAATGACCTTTCTAAAAACAAAATAATAATACGAACTTACATTTATTAGTGTCTATTATGTGCCAGGAACTGTTTTACATGTATCTAATCTATACAACAACTCCATGAAGTAAAACCCAAATCTACCTCAATTTTACAGATAAGGAAACTAGGGCAGAGAGAGATTGAGAAATTTGCCCAAGGTCACACAGCCTTGGGCACACAGCCAGTAAATGGTAGAACTTAGGTTTGAACCCAGGTTGACTTCTTAGCCTTCAAGCTTATCTGCCACACTATGCTAGATCATGTCACTACCTAGCATCAAATATTTGATGGCTTCTCACTACACTGGAACTAAATTCCCAACTCCTTACCAAGGCCTAGAGAGGCCTGTGTGATCTATCGTCTGCCTGTATCTCCAAACTCATCTCATGCTTCCTTTTCTTTTCCTTTGCTCCATCCACATGGCTTTCACACCGCAACCCCCATCATCTTCCTTGAACATGATAAGCTCTTTCCTGCCAGCAGGCCTTAAACATCCTCTATCTCAAGTATTCTTCTTTTTTTCTTTTAAATCCCCTATTCTGAGAAATGTCAAATATTGTTTTCTCTGATCTTCACACAGCTGGATCCTTCTCATTCTTTAGGTCTCATTTTAATTTTCTGTCCAGAGAGACTCTCCCTCCCATTGCTTTTTTTAATTATTATTTTAAATTTTTTTTTTAAAGCTGGACACCATTAATTAGAATCATGCTATTTCTTAAGTAGGTCCCTCCCTACTCCTGCCAAGATCATTAGTGACCCTCCCTGATATGTTCCATCTTGGCCCCATATTTGTTTTCTTCTTAGCCTTTAAAACAATTTGTTAGCCGGGCGTGGTGGTTCATGCCTGTAATCCCAGCACTTTAGGAGGCCGAGGTGGGCAGATCACGAGGTCAAGAGAGCAAGACCATCCTGGCCAACATTGTGAAACCCCATCTCTACTAAAAAAAAAAAATTAGCTGGGCGTGGTGGCGCACGCCTGCAGTCCCAGCTACTCAGGAGGCTGAGGCAGGAGAATCACTTGAACCTGGGAGGTGGAGGTTGCAGTGGGCCAAGATAGCACCACTGCACTCCAGCCTGGCCGCAGAGCAAGACTCTGTCTCAAAAAAAAAAAAAATTTTTTTTGTTGGCCAGGTGTGGTGGCTCACGCCTGTAATCCAGCACTTTGGGAGGTCAAGGTGGGCAAATCACTTGAGGTCAGGAATTCCAGACCAGCCTGGCCAACATGGTGAAACCCCGTCTCTACTAAAAATACAAAAATTAGCCAGGTGGGGTGGTGGGCGTCTGTAATCCCAGCTACTTGGGAGGCTGAGGCAGGAGAATTGCTTGAACCTGGGAGGTGGAGGCTGCAGTCAGCCAAGATAGCGCCACTGCACTCCAGCCTAGGCAACAGAATGAGACTCCATCTCAAAAAAAAAAAACAAAAAAAAAATTACTCAGGCATGGTGGCGCGCACCTGCAATCCCAGCTATTCAGGAGGCTGAGGCAGGAGAATCGCTTGAACCCGAGAGGCAGAGGTTGCAGTGAGCCAAGATCATGCTATTGCACTCCAGCCTAGGCAACAGAGTGAGACTCTGTCTCAAAAAAAAATTGTAATTATTTATTTGTTTGTTTGCTTGTTTGTCTCTCTTCCCCACTAAAATTAAGTGTTGTGAAGGCAGAGGCTGAGTCTTAGTCACTTTCATTATGTTCAGAGCCAAACACAGTTTCCAGCTCATAGAAGGAACTCTAGAAATATCTGTTGTCTATCCATATATTATCTTTTCTACTTCATAGATCTGTTCATTCATAATTTCTGCTTCTTTATCACTTTGGTTTGTCATCATCTACACTCCATCTCCTCCCACACATACCCCTACTCAAACTCATGGCCTCTCTCTTTACATCCTGTTAGTCATAGTTTTTATTGCTGCTAATTGCCTCAATCACCTCATGCTGCCTGATTCAAATTCCTGACAGAGAAATATTGATTTGTCCAACTCATATTTTAGGAGCCAAGACACATTTGTAGGTCATTGGCAAGCCCATGGGTTGCTTGCCTTTGGGTCATATTCCCAGTCTTAGTCCAGAAGCTGTGTTAGAGAAGGCTGTGGGTGGGGATGGTCAGCATAGTGCTGCCTTTCTGCAAGGATGAGGATGTAGCAGGCTTGGTGACTGATATTTGAGCAAAAGTTGTTGCAGCAGAAGCAACAAATAGTTAACAAGGCCTCACTTAAGGGCTGGGCTTCCCAGTAGTTGCTCTCTGGGAGGAAGGTCTCAGGTTATGGTCGAGTCCAGTTTACTCTCCCTCTGGGGAGAATAGTAAACACAAATTGAAAGCACTCACATTTACCCAGCCTTTTTTTTTTTATTTTTTGAGACAGGGTCTGGCTCTGTCACCCAGGCTGAAGTGCAGTGGCACGATCTTAGGTCACTGCAACCTCTACCTCCCAGGCTCAAGCCATCCTCCCACCTCAGCCTCTTGTGTATCTAGGACTACAGGTGTATGTCACCATGCCCAGCTAGTTTTTGAATTTTTAGTAGAGATGGGGTTTCACCACGTTGCCCAGGCTGGTCTCAAACTGCTGAGCTCAAAGCAGTCCATCCACCCTGGCCTCCCAAAGTGCTGGGATTACAGGCTTAAACCACTGCACCTGGCATATACAGCCTTTCTAAAATTGCAAAAAGAGCATTTTTATCCATCTGCATTTATACCTCCAGTGAGGTAAAGAGTAGTTTCCATTTAACAAATAATAAAACTGAGGCTGGGAAGATAGAGTGCTATGCCTAAGGTCCCACACACACTGAGTAAGAGTCATCATTACATCCCAGATCTCTAGACTCCCACGCAAGGTCTCCTTTCACTATACATATCTTGTTGCCCTCATTTCCTACCTGGGACTTTAATCTTGAATCACAGCTCAAGGGATTTTTAAGGGCAACCATTTGAACGGCCAGTGAAAAGTTCTAAAACAGCTTGATGATAATTGAAGTTTCCTATAAGGCAGCACTCGATAGGTAGGTTCTATGGGCTCTGGGCTCCCAGTATAATTATCAAGTGTCTAAGAATTTATGGAATAATTACCATGTGCCAGGCACTCTACTTTATACATACTCTCTCAATTCAACCTCACAACATGCATGTAAGGTATATGTTATTATAATCCCAACTTTACAGATGAGGACACTGAAACTTAAGAAACTAGGTCACTGGACCAAAGTTCAAAATCTAGTAAATACAGTGCTGGAATCCTAACTCAGGTCTGTCTGACTCCAAAGCCCACCTCCCTTTTCATGATCAGCTTGATTTTGTCACTTGATTTATGTGAACTTCCACTTCCTTATCGGTAAAATGGGGATATCAGGGCCTAATTCATGGGATTATTGTAGGTTTATGAACAATCACATAGAGGGCAAACCTATTTCAGTAAACAGAGCAGATATACACTATCTTTCAGTATAGTCTGAAACTAAATCCTTCATGTGTAAAAAGAAGCAGAATTATCAACTCCAGGTGCCTATAAGAAACAGGATTTTTCTTGTGAGACTGTAATCCTGGGGCAAGGATTCCTGGTCCAAATTCTGAAAACATAAGGCCTGGAGAGAAATAACCATTTCTCCAAGGAAACAGATCAATTTATTGTATCTCAGAGATGAGAAAGAACGTGCACTTAAACTAGTCTTAATGCATCAGGATGGAAATTAGTAAATGCCCAATAAAGAGATTTGAATTTGTGTCTGATAAACTTGAGATCTTCTCCTAGGCCAAGGCCTTTTGCATATAATCTTCTTAATCCTACCACAACTCTAAGAGGCAGGTCTTCTTACAACCTCCATTTTTCAGGCAAGTACTTTGAGACTCAGAGAGGTTTTTTTGTTTTTTTTGAGACGGAGTCTCACTCTGGCCCCCGGACTGGAGTGCAGTGGCGCCATCTCAGCTCACTGCAACCTTCACCTCCTGGGTTCAATCGATTCTCCTGCCTCAGCCTCCTGGGTAGCTGGGACTACAGGCACGTGCCACCATGCCCGGCTAATTTTTTGTATCATTAGTAGAGACGGGATTTCACCGTGTTAGCCAGGGTGGTCTTGATCTCCTGACCTCGTGATCCACCCGCCTCAGCCTCCCAAAGTGCTGGGATTACAGGCGTGAGCCACTGCGCCTGGCCTCAACTTTGAGGCTCAGAGAGTTTAAGTGACCTGGCAAAAGTCACACATCTAACTCAAAGCAGAGAAGAAACTGGAGCCAAGCTTTCAGCTGTGTGCAGTCTGGCCAGTCTGCTAGTAAGTTAGCTGCCTCAGCACTGTAGACCTCTTTGGAAGGAAACTGACCCCTAGGTCAAACATAGTGCTGACATCATGCCCACTCATTATTCTCAAGAAATGAAAATCAATTCTACGTCCATCAGCACACTTTAGGGAGAATGCTGGCTAGGACAATACTTCCCTTGCAGCATTATAGATAAATACCAACACCTAAACAAATGTCAATAATACCATGTGATGAATGCAAGAGTGAGAATAATGACTAAACTTTGCGTAGCACTTGATGATTCACAAGGAACATTCATATCTGTTACCCAATTTGCTGTTCATATCACCCCTTGGAGATAGGTATTATCATTGCCATTTCACAGATGAAGAAACTGAGGCTCAAAGGAGTTTATTTCATATGAGAGAAGATGTGAAGCTAGCTGTGGTGGCACACACCTGTAACCCCAGCTACTTGGGAGGTTGAGGCAGAAGGATTACTTGAACCAGGAGCTTGACAGTTCAAAAGTTTGAGTCCAGCCTGGGCAACATAGTAAGACTGAATCTCTGAAGGAAAAAAAAAGAAAGATGTGGACATATACCATTTTACGATCTCTTAGCCTCCATTTCCCTTCTTTTGGGACTGGTACTCTGTGTTTCCTTTGAAGATCAAATAACCCTTGCTTCAGCAACATTGATTCGATCAGCGTGAACACATAACACTTGACTCTTTGAGAATCAAGCTTGGAACTTTCGTGTAGGCTTTTGTTCAAACTGTTGAGAGAGAGAAGCTCTCTTAAGCCCATGGGTGTGAGTCTGAAGTTAAGGGCTACCACCATAAGGAAAAAAATTATGTATAAATTTTAAACCAGCAGAAGATAATTCAGCCTATTCAATGGAAAGCAGAAATGGAGATTAAAAATAAAAAAAGAATGTAGAGTAAATGGAGGATAGAACTAAATCTTAATATATAATAATAACATTAAATGTAAAAAAGTGAATCTCACCAATGGGATTTTTAAAAATTACATCCAACAGTAAACTAACTTTAAGAGACATGCTTTTTTTTTTTTTTTTTTTTTTTTGAGATGGAGTTTCACTCTGTCACCCAGGCTGGAGTGCAGTGGCTTGATCTCGGCTCACTGCAACATCCACCTCCCAGGCTCAAGCAATTCTCCTGCCTCAGCCTCCCAAGTAGCTGGGATTACAGGTGCCCACTACCACTCCTGGCTAATTTTTGTATTTTTAGTAGAGACAGGGTTTCACCATGTTGGCCAGGCTTGTCTCAAACTCTTGACCTCAAGTGATCTGCCTGCCTTGGCCTCCCAATGTGCTGGGATTACAGGCGTGAGCCACCACATCCGACCCAGAGACATACTTAAAGAGATAGATTAAAAATAAAAAGAAAGATAAACCAGGCAAATGTGAACTGGGTTGCGATCTTATTATCTGTCAAAGAGGAATTTTAGTTTCAAAAGATGAGATGGAAAGTCATTATTTTTTCTTAAAAGGAACAATAGACAAATACATAGATACAACAGGCAAAACACACAGATGCACCTAATCATACAGTCTTAAAATATACAGAACTCAACCTGGACAAACATGGCGAAACTCTGTCACTACTAAAAATAAAAAATAAAAAAATTATCCAGGCGTGGTGGCATACACCTGTAGTCCCAGCTACAGTCCCACCTGTTTCAAAAAATAAACATAACTGAGCCAGGTGCAGTGGCTCACACCTATAATCCCAGTGCTTTGGGAGGCTGAGGTGAGAGGATAACTTAAGGCCAGGAGTTCAAGACAAGCACCATAGCAAGACCACATCTCTATAAAAAATAAAATAAAAATTTACCAGCATGGTGGAACAATTCTGTAGTCCTAGCTACTCAGGAGGCTGAGGTGAGAGGATCGCTTGAGTGCAGGAGTTTGAGGCCAGAGTGAGCCATGATCATGCCACTGTATTCCAGCTACACACAAACAAACACACACACAAAACAACTGCAGAGAAAAATCAAGAGATGCTTAATTATAGCTGAAGACTTTAACATCCCTCTCTCAGAAACTGATATATCAAGGCTTGAATAGTATAATTACCATATGTCAACAATTCTACATCGTATAAGAGTAGACTCTAGGAGGGTTAAAAACATAATAAATGTGAAAAACTAACAAAGAAAAATATGAGATAATTATAGTTTGTGACTGAAAAGGAAAGGCAAAACTTCAAATGCACAGACTGTAAGACAATTTTTTTTGAGACAGGGTCTCACTTTGTCACCCAGACTGGAGTGCAGTGGCGCAATCTCAGCTCACTGCAGCCTCAACCTCCTGGGCTCAAGCGATCCTCTCACCTCAGCCCCCAAGTAGCTGGGACTACAGGTATCAGCCACCATGCTCGGCTAATTTGTTGTGTTTATTGTAGAGATGGGGTTTCACCATGTTGCCCAGGCTGGTCTCGAATTCCTGAGCGCAAGCGATCTGCCTGCCTTGGACTCCCAAAGTGCTAGGATTACAGGTGTGAGCCACCACACCAGGCTATAAGACAAAAATATTGATGAATATAATGACATTAAAATTAAGAATTTCTGTTCAACAAAGAAGATTGTTGAACAAAATAACTAGATAAAAGACAACATGGCTGGGCGCGGTGGCTCACGCCTGTAATCCCAGCACTTTGGGATGCCGAGGCGGGTGGATCACGAGGTCAGGAGATCGAGACCATCCTGGCTAACACGGTGAAAACCTGTCTCTACTAAAAATACAAAAAATTAGCTAGGCATGATGAAGGGCACCTATAGTCCCAGCTACTCAGGAGGCTGAGACAGGAGAATGGCATGAACCCGGGAGGCGGAGCTTGCAGTGAGCCGAGATCGTGCCACTGCACTCCAGCCTGGGCGACAGAGCCAGACTCTGTCTCAAAAAAAAAAAACAAAAAACACAACATAACTAGATAAGAGAATGGGAGAATATGTTCAAAATACGCAACACACAAAACTGGTAAATAAATAAGAGGGCAGCAAACCTTAGGAAAAAATAAAAGCAAAACATACAAATAGTTGGCATGAACATTATCACCAAAAAAAGAGAGAAAAAGATATAAACAGAGAGGAATTCCAAAAATCAAAAGGCATATGAAGAGATGCCCAAAGTACCACAGAAATGCTAATTAAATCAGCAACGTACTATCCTTTTACATCTACTAAGCTACAGAAATTAGAATGCTTGATAATGCCAGCTGGTGGAGTTGTGGGGATGCTGGAACTCTGGTGGGTGTATGGACTGGTACAGCCACTGTGGATCACAATCTGACATGAAGTATGCAAATTCAGAACTCATACACTCTATGAGCTTGCAGTTAGACTCCTGGGATATATCCCAAAGAAATTCTTATGCAGGCACATAGGGGTTCTGCATTAAAATATTTATTGTGTGCTATTTATGGTCATAGGGATTCAAAGACAACCTGGTTATCATATGGAGAGGAGATAGCTAAAATGTGGTAGATGTTGTATTGTAAAATATTATGCAACAATCAAAAGCAATGGATTAGATGCATACACAGCAAGATGAAGGCATTTTAAAACAGTGCTCAGTGAAAAATATGAAGAAAAAATGCGATTAAAACATGATGTTATTTGCAGAAATTAAAAATGTATTAATACAAAACAAAAATTCACTTTTTATAAGAACAGATACAAATAAAAATAACAGACACTTTAAATAAAACTTAATTATCTAAGTGGGAAACAGAAAAGGAATAAAAGAGAAAAAAATGGACAAATAGGTAGGGCACGGTGGTTCACCTGTGAATCCCAGCACTTTGGGAGGCCAAGGCAGGTGGATCACTTGAGCCGAGGAGTTTGAAACCAGCCTGAGCAACATGGCGAAACCCCATCTCTACTAAAAATACAAAAATTAGCTGGGCATGGTGGTGTGCAGCTGTAGCTGTAGTCCCAGCTACTTGGGAGGCTGAGGTAGGAGGATTGCCTTGAACCCAGGAGGTCGAAGCTGCAGGGAGCCAAGATTGCACTACTACACTCCAGCTTGGATGACAGAGTGAGATCCTATCTCAAATATATATATATAAATAAAATAAAATAAAATTTAGAAGTGACATTGTCACCAACCAAAGATGATAAACTACCATGTACTAAGTAGTGTGATTAATTAAATCCTCAAAACTGGAAGGAAATATAATAATATTGTATATTATACAATAATAATATTAACTTTCTTCCTAATACATATGTTGACTCCAGATTTCTACACTGAATACCTATTAATTTTCAAAATTAAATATACAATCATAATTTTTAAAAAAATCATCTGGAGGAGTATGGTTCAGTTGCAGAATGGTGGTGTTCAAAAGATGTGTCCTGGAAAGAAACACAAAAAATTTCAGTCTATGTGCAGAATGGGTAGAATTATGCAGGCATTTTTTTCTTGTTAAAATTACAATTTCTTTTTGTTTGGTTTGGATTTTTTTTATTTTGATTTTTTATAGAGACAGAGTCTTGCTGTGTTGCCCAGGTTGGTCTTGAACTCCTGGGCTCAAGTGATCCTTCTGCCTTGGCCTCCTAAAGTGCTGAGATTACATGTGTGAGCCACCACACCTAGCTTGGTTTTTATTTTTTTGAAACAAGGTCTTGCTCTGTTGCATAGGCTGGAATGCAGTGGCATCATCTCAGCTCACTGAAGCCTCTATCTCCTGGGCTCAAGCGATCCTCTAACCTCAGGGTAGCTGGGACTACAAACATGCTCCACGATGCCCAGCTGATTTTTAATTTTTTCGTGGGGATGGAGTTCCACTATGTTGCCCAGGCTGGTCTAGAACTCCTGGGCTCAAGTGATCCTCCTGCCTCGACCTCCCTCAGTCCTGGGATTACAGGTGTGGGCCACCATGTCTGGCATACCATAATTTCTGAAACAGTGTATGCACAGTCAATCAAAATAAAAGGCAAAAGAAAATTTATCAAAGGTGAGAGCAGCAGCTTTAAAAAATATTCAAATGAATCCTTACTGTAAACAAGGATTACAAAATCCTGCCTGAAAATATCTTCATCTGGTGATACTGAAAATATGTAACAATTGGTAGAGCATACATCTGAGCAATCAGAGCAGACATTTATAGTAAACAATGCTCATATCAGACTGGCATCCCTAAAATATAAATCACCATCCACACCAGTCCTCCAGCCCCAAAACAAAATATTTAGCCTCAGCCCCTGAAGCTTAGCTCTTTTTCACAACAGGAAGACTCTCAGGCTGTAGAAATTGGTATAAAGTCAAGTTTTCCAAACCAGAATATTCCAAAGGTTGTAAGGTCTAGAAACCACACCAGGCACCAGTCTACAGGGAGGAAGGAAGAAGTTCTCACTGCTGCTCCCTGAACTCACCACCCTACTTCCTGTCATCTGGTGCTCTGCTCTTTGACTCTGAAATCTGGTCCACACATCCCCTTCTCCTTTGGGCAGACTTGTGCATTCTTTTTTGTTTTTAACCTTCCCCCAAAGATGCACACTCATGCATTCTTTAAGAGCCGCCTCAAAACTCACTTCCTTCATGAAGTCTTTTCTCAAACCACCAAAACTACCAGGCAGAAAATTGTTCATTTATTCAACTAATTTTTACTGAGCACCTACTATGTTCCAGATCCTGCACCTGCTATGTTCCAGAGCCCTGGCTTATCATTTACTGAACTGTATGACAGCCATGTCTGTGGGTCTGACTCCGTGGCTGTTGGATATAGTCATTTAAAAATACATTTGAAGGGCAGGTACACTGGCCTACGCCTGTAATCCCAGCAGTTTGGGAGGCTGAGATGGGCAGATCACTTGAGGTCAGGAGTTAGGGACCAGCCTGGCCAACATGACAAAACACTGTCTCTACTAAAAATACAAAAATTAGCCAGATGTGGTGGCACACGCCTGTACTCCCAAGCTACTCGGGAGGCTGAGGCAGGAGGATGGCTTAAACCCTGGAGGTGGAGGTTACAGTAAGCTGAGATTGTGCCACTGCACTCCAGCCTGGGCAACAGAGCAAGACTCTGTCTCAAAACAAAACAAAACAAAAAGCACTTAAAAAGGCATTTTTTTTCCATGTGGAATGTCGGTTGCCTACTTTATGTATTCAATAGTAATAGATATTCACTCACTCATTCCACAGCCTGGTGCAGTGGAAGGATAAACTGTTTTCTTTTATAGTGCTTTGTTAGAGTTATTTATAGGGTTATTGTTTTATGGAAGTATAAACTTCGAAACCAGACAAGCTTGAGAGACTGGTCCTGTCCCTTACTAGCTGTTTAACCTTGAGCAAGTGACTTACCCACTCTGAGCAGTTTCCGCATCTGTAAAATGAAGATAAGAATGGTATCCTCTACAATGGCTGCTATGAGGATTAGATGAGCACATTGTAGAAGCTCCACAAATTTATGGCAAAGTGCTTTCTAATCTATAAAGAGCTACAAGAATGTGCATGATGACACGTGAGCAGGTAGTACAGAAAAAAATAAATATGAGACTAGCAAACTTGCAAACAAGTGACAATTATTTAAAAGTTAGGGCACAAAACAGCAGAAAAGCAAATAGATTTTCACAAAGTATTTTTTCTTATGTTAGGGGGAAATCTAGTTGTTAAGTGCTTGATACATCTGCAAGAGGAAAACATCATCTGTCCACAAGTATAACCATCAGCACTGCTCAGTAAATACTAATACATACGTTTTTATTTTATTTTATTTTATTTATTTTTTGAGACGGAGTCTCGCTCTGTTACCCAGGCTGGAGTGCAGTTGTGCGATCTCGGCCCACTGCAACTTTCGCCTCCCAGGTTCAAGCAATGCTCCTGCCTCAGCCTCCCAAGTAGCTGGAATTACAGGTGCCCGCCACCAAGCCCAGCTAATTTTTTGTATTTTTAGTAGAGACAGGGTTTCACCACATTAGCCAGGCTGGTCTTAAACTCCTGACCTCAGGTGATCGACCCACCTTAGCCTCCCAAAGTGCTGGGATTACAGGCAAGAGCCACTGTGCCTGGCCCCATACATTTAAACAAAATAAAATCCTTGGGTGTCCTGGGATAAATTGAAAGTGAGGATTAAGTTTATACAGAAGTTTATTTACTGATAACTAATTTCATAAACACCATAATAATGATAGTAGTGATAGCAACCATTTTTTGACTACCTATTTGTATCAGGCACTTTACATACATTAGTTCATTTAATCCCTACAACCTCATAAAACAGAAATGATCACTCCCTTTCTACTAATAAGGAAACAGAAGCCCCAAGAGGCAGTGTGACTTTCCCCAGGTCACACAGAGCAAAGGGAGCGGGATGGAAATACAAATCCAAAGTTTATTTCAAAAAAGTAAGTTATTTTGCTCCCCAAATTGTACCAACCTCATGAATATTTCTCCTCCTAACATTTGCCTCCACAATCCCAGTTACAGTTCACCCTTCTGGTCAACAAGGACTTCCTCATTTTTACCCAGAAACACTCTGTCAGCATCATGTTCCTGCATCTCCCTGTCATTTCCTGGCTCTGTAGTGGGATCCAATTCATTTCCCTCTTCTTCAATTCCCCAAATGCCATCTTCCTTTTCTTCATCCGTTTCCTTTTACTTCTTGGCCTCTTCTGCCTGCTTTCTTTTTTCAATTTCTTCATAAAGTTCTCTCCATTGCTTCTCTTAGGTCCTGTTTAGAATGTAGAATTTCAAAATAATTTACAGATAGTATAAACAAAGTTAACCAACTTTAGAAATATCTGGCATCTTCCAACAGTCATTTATTTATTTATTTATTTATTTATTTACTTATTTATTTTTTGAGACAGGGTCTTACTCTGTCATCCAAGCTGGAGTGCAATGGTGTCATCTTGGCTCAATGCAACCTCCGCCTCCTGGGCTCAAGGGGTCCTCCCACCTCAGCCTCCTGAGTAGCTGGGACTACAGGCACATGCCACTACACCTGGCTAATTTTTTTTTTTGTATTTTTCATAGGGATGGGGGTTCACTATGTTGCTTAGGCTGGTCTTGAACTCCTAAGCTCAGGAGATCCACCTACCTCAGCCTTCCAGAGTGCTGGGATTACAGGTGTGAGACACCGTGTCCAGCCTTCCAACAGTCTTCAGATTTCCGGGATAGTGTTTATTTACATACAAAGTTTCAGCATGTGTAGGGTGAATAGAAATGTGTGTGTGTGTGTGTGTGTGTGTGTGTGTGTTTAGTTTGTTCGTAAATAAAATTGGTTCCAATTTAGCAAATATTTGTTGAATGCCTACTGCCTTGCTAACCACAGTGCTATAATAGGCAATCTACACACGTTATGTATATTCCTCACAGCAAATTATGAGGTTTGTTACTTGTTCTACTTTCTAGATGAGCGATCTGAGGTTCAGACTTCCTTATACTTTTCTTGTTGGTCTCCTCAAACTGAAAGTAAGCCCCATGAAGGTAGAAACTTCTCTGTTTTATTTCACTACTATAACCCCAGCACTTACAACAGTGCTTTGAACAGGTACTCAAGTACTTGTCAAGTGAATGTATGGTTTAATAATAATAGCTACCATGTATTGAGCACTTACTATATACCAGGAACTTATAAGATAGAGGCTATCATTATTCTCCACTTATAGATGAAGAGCAGTTAAATAACTTGCCTAAGTTCATACAGCTAATACATAATGGAGCCTGGATTTGAACTCAAGCAGTCTAGCTCCAAAGTTCAAACTCTTAACCAATATGAAAAAGTACCTTCACAAAACAATTTTAGATATAATCCCAAAGTAAAACAAGACAAAACCAGACTAAAAAGTATTACAAGGTCTAATAATTTTTCCCAGAATGACTACTTCAATTTTTTTTTTAGACGGTGGCTCATGCTGTTGCCCAGATTGGAGTGCAGTGGTCCAATCTCAGCTCACTGCAACCTCCGCCTCCCAGGTTCAAGTGATTCTCCTGTCTCAGCCTCCCTAGTAGCTGGGATTACAGGCACCCACCACCATGCCCGGCTAATTTTTTTATTTTTAGTAGAGGTGGGGTTTCACCATCTTGGCCAGGCTTGTCTTGAACTCCTGACCTAGTGATCCACCCACCTCAGCCTCCCAAAGTGCTGGGATTATAGTCGTGGGCCACCATACCTGGTCTTTCCATTTTTTTTTAAAGGAAATACTAAGTATCAAAGTTCTTTAAAAAAAAAAACAAACTTTTTTTTGTGCCTGTGTTTTTGCAGGTGCTTTAAGCATAAGCTTAATCTGCCTATTGGGTAATCAAGTATTGGCCACAAACCTGCTTTTGAATGGACCTTCCTTCAGAACCAGAACATCTGGATAGAGCTTGTCAGGGTCATGAGGCCATTGCCCCAAGTATCACTCCACCCACAAAATAGTTCTAGGAGGCCGGGGAAGCTGGTAAACAAACAGCACTCATTACCTTCCTTCTTTCTCGTAGCCATCCTGAGCCTGAGCCTATTTTCTGTAATCCCAACACTTTGGGAGGCTGAGGCAGGTGGATTGCTTGAACCCAGGAGTTACAGACCAGCCTGGACAACACGGCAAGACCCCATCTCTACAAAAACGTTAAAAAAAATTAACCTGGCATGGTGGCATGCATTTGTAGTCTCAGCTACTTGGGAGGCTGAGGCAGGAGGATCACTTGAGCCTGGGGAGTTGAGTCTGTAGTGAGCTGTATTCTCACCACCACACCCCAGCCTGGGCCAAGAAGCAAGACCCTGTCTCAACGACAACAAAAACCAAAACAAAACAAACAAAAAAAAAGAAAATGAGCTCAGTAGCTCCCTTCTAGATCAATGCACTACAGCAGATAGTCTGACACACAAAAGGAGCATGAGAGGCCAGGAGTTTGAAACCAGCCTGGGCAACATAGCAAGATCCCATCTCTAAAAAAAAATTTTTTTTTTTTGAGACAGAGTTTCACTCTTGTTGCCAGGCTGGAGTGCAATGGCGCATCTCGGCTCACTGCAACCTCCGCCTCCCGTGTTCAAGCGATTCTCCTGCCTCAGCCTCCCGAGTACCTGGGATTACAGGCATCCGCCACCACACCTGGCTAATTTTGTGTTTTTAATAGAGACAGGGGTTTCTCCATGCTGTTCAGGCTGGTCTCAAACTCCTGACCTCAGGTGATCCACCCGCCTCAGCCTCCCAAACTGTTGGGATTACAGGCGTGAGCCACCCCACCTGGCCAAAAAAAATTTGTTTTTAAGTTAGCTGGATGTGGTGGCACACTTCTGCACTTCTGTAGTCCTAGCTACTCGAGAGGCTAAGGTGGGAGGATTGCTTGAGCCCAGGAGTTTGAAGCAGCAGTGAGTCACAATCACACCACTGCACTCTGTGCAGACACAGGAAGACTCTGTCTCTTACAGATACAGGTATAAATATAAATACATATACATACACACACAGAGGGAGAGAGAGAGAGAAACTGCAGGGAAAAACAGATGCATAATTGTAGCTGAAGACTTGAACATCCTCCTCTCAGAAACTGAGACAGCAAGGCTTGGATAGTATAATTAACATATTTCAACAATTCTACATCCTATACAAGAGTAGACTCTAGACGGTTAAAAATTTAATAAACATGAAGAGTAAAACTATAAAGAAAAATATAAGAGACTCATAGTTTGTGACTCAAAATGGAAGGCAAAACTTCAACAAGTCAAAGGCTGCGGATGACTTTGGGTACTTTATACTCTGAATTTCAGTTCCTACACCTGAAAAATGGAAGTAATAATATCTGTCTTGCTGGATTGTTTTAGGGCTAAGTGGGATAGCGTTTGGAAAGTGCTGACAGAGCCACAAGTACACAATTATAGATGTCCAGTGAACATGAGTTCTTTCTCCCACCTCTCAGGGCCGAGTGACCAAAAATGAGACAAAGACTATGTGGCTGATTTTTGAAATGCAAAGAATAGTGAACAACTGAGGAGTCAGACATTCCCCAGGTCTTATTTCTAACTTTTTGAGCAAACTCTTCATCATTTGTAAGAAGGAAATTGTCAAAGATGCTGACAGATTTTACCTGTTGAAGTGAAAACAACAGGATTATTAAAACTAGGTGCCTAAATGTCGAAGGGCTTAAAAAGCACCTGGAGACCCTTGCTAAATGCATATTCCCAGGCTACTGGCCCAGAGGTTGTAATCAATAATTTGGGTTAGACAAGGAAATACAAGGGTTATTAATAACACAGAGGGTCCAAAATCCTGTACTGCCCTAGCTGATCTGCTCTAGAACAAAGTTAATTTAGTTTCCCAAGAATCTATGCTCCTTATGCCTCTGAACACTATTTTAGAAGGTTGTGAAGTAACTTTTATCACTCTGCTAGCCTCCAAATTGGTGCCCACTGGCTCTTGCTCCAGCTCAGATTGATAGTGCCTACTTCTGATGATACTTACATATAGATGCCTTTAAAAAGGTGGCTGGGCGCAGTGGCTCACCCCTGTAATCCCAGAACTTTGGGAGGCCGAGGCGGGCGGATCCTGAGGTCAGGAGTTCGAGACCAGCCTGACCAACATGGCGAAACCCTGTCTCTACTAAAAATACAAAAATTAGCTGGGCATGGTGGCACGTGCCTGTAATCCCAGCTACTCGGGAGGCTGAGGCAGGAAAATCCCTTGAACTAGGGAGTTGGAGGTTGCAGTGAGCTGAGATAGCGCCATTGCACTCCAGCCTGGGCAACAAAAAAGGTTCTCTCCTTAATCAGAAAAACTAAAAGACCATAGTAAAAGGAAAAGGTTCAACAAGAAATGCAAGCAGAATTTAAGATTCTTTTTTTATTTTATTTTTATTTTTTGAGAGGGAGTCTTGCTCTGTCGCCCAGGCTGGAGGGCAGTGGCATGATCTTGGCTCACTGCAACCTCCACCTCCTTGGTTCAAGTGATTCTCCTGCCTCAGCCTCCTGAGTATCTGAGATTACAGGCATGTGCCACCATGCCCGGCTAATTTTTTTTTGTATTTTAGTAGAGACAGGGTTTCACCATGTTGGTCAGGCTGGTTTTGAACTCCTGACCTCAAATGATCCACCCGCCTTGGCCTCCCAAAGTGCTGGGATTACAGGTGTAAGCCACTGCGCCCAGCCAGATTCTATACGATGCAGATCATGTACTATAGTTCTCTATTTTTTTAAAATAACATTTTTAATATTTACAATGGAAGGAAAAGATTAATGAAATCCATCATATGTAATATTTTCCATGTTTGTTTATTGAATGAGAAAGGAACAGAATACAAAGAACACAAGTCATGGAGTCAGACCAGCTCAACCACATACTAGCTGTGTGATCTCGGGCAAGTTTGCTCAATCCCTGTAAGCCTAGTCCCTATAAGTAAAGTAGGGAAAATAATAACTCCCTGACAGTAATTTCATGAGACTTAGCGATAATATAGGTAAAGCACACTGTCTAGCAGTTAATTGTCACCCAATAGACACTAGTGGCTATTATCATAACTTTTCAGTACCTGAGTATGTTTCAAAAAGGGCAAAATGATGGTCATTTTATAATTTTTTACTTTTGCAGTAAGTTAAATAAATCATGAAGTCAATTTCATGGGAGTATTTGTATAACCAACTGGAAAGTCTGTAGCATGAGTAATCCCATGTCCCTCCCTAGGCTTTGAAAAAACCCCTGCCTTGAACTCATGGAGTTAGAGAGCAGAATGATAATTACCAGAGACTGGGAAGGGTGAGAGTGGAGCTGGGGGTAGGGTGCTATGAGTAGTGGAGATGGTTAATGGGTACAAAAACATAATTAGGTAATTTCAGAACTTTGGGAGGCCGAGGTCAGGACTTTGAGACCAGCCTGGCCAACATGGTGAAACCCTGTCTCTGCTAAAAATACAAAAAATTAGCTGGGCATGGTGGCGGATGCCTGTAATCCCAGCTACTTGGGAGGCTGAGGCAGGAGAAATGCTTGAACCTGGGAGGCGGAGGTTGCAGTGAGCAGAGATCTTACCACTGCACTCCAGCCTGGATGACAGAGTGAGACTCTGTCTCAAAGAAACAAAAAAAAAGTATATATATACACATATATATGTGTATATATATACATATATATGTATATATATATCTCAAACTAAGTAGAATGAATAAGATCTAGTATTTGATAGCACAAAAGATGGCTATAGACAACAGTAATTTATTATACATTTAAAAACAACTAAAAGATGTAATGGGACTGTTTGTAACACAAAGACAGGGTAAATGCTTGAGGTGATGGATACCCCATTTACCCTGATGTGATTATTACAAGTTGCATGCCTGTATCAAAATATCTCATGTACCCCATAAGTATATATACCTACTGTGTACCCACAAAAACTAAAAATTGAAAACAAAAACAAAAAACCCTGCCTTACTGTTTCATGGCCAAAAAAGTTTTCTTGTTTTTAATAAGAAAGGCTTTTATTTGGCTTACATTACCCAACCAACCTTGCCTCCAAGAGAAAGACAAGTGATAAAATAGCCACTTTGAATAGAGATAACTATTTTGCTAGGAGCCAATTTTTAACAATTGGTTTTTAAAATTCCTTCTGCATCTTTAAGATATTTTCTTACCTTTGGGATTTTTTTGAGTTGTCAGCAGTCTTGTTAGGAGAACTGCCTATTTGTTGGCTTTTCCATTTTCCCTACTTTCATGAGAACTACTCCTAATCTCTCTGGTCTTTTTAGTGCCCCTTTGCCCCCATTGCCCTTACATTAAACTCATGGGCTATGAGAGTGCCAGTTCTGCATCCTAACTGGTAATCATGGTCTACTTGTATCTTCTCTGTAAAAGAACTGTGAACTGTGTTCGACTAAAGCCTAAGGCCCTAAGGAATTCATTGAAAGTTACCTGTGCTATCCCACTTGAGTAATAACATGTAAAGAGTATAGGTTTGGGCACTTGTTAGAGATGGGCCCTGACAAATCAAGTCTCCTCGCTGAGTCCTCAGTGTTCTCATCAGTAAAATGGCAACGGTAAGTCCTACCCTCTTGGCCTCACAGGGATATGGCACAGACCATATGATGTAAGGGATATCAATGTGCTTTGTATTATTGAAACCACCTTTGCAAAAATTATGACAGTGAGAAAAATCTGACATAGGAAAATTGTGACAGTGAAAGAAATCTGACCTAACCAACTCTATCTTGCTTCTAACCTCCAAGCTGCCCTTGTTCATTCCTGGCCATAGGCCAAACTAACTATAGGAGAAATTTAGTTTATAATCTAATTTAAAAAAAAATCATGCCTGTAATCCTAGCACTTTGGGAGGCCAAGGCGGGCAGATCACGAGGTCAGGAGATCAAGACCATCCTGGCTAACACGGTGAAACCCCCTCTCTACTAAAAATACAAAAAATTAGCCAGGCGTAGTGGCGGGCGCCTGTAGTCCCAACTACTTGGGAGGCTGAGGCAGGAGAATGGTGTGAACCCGGGAGGCGGAGCTTGCAGTGAGCCAAGATTGTGCCACTGCACTCCAGCCTGGGTGACAGAGCCAGACTCCGTCTCAAAAAGAAAAAAAAAAGATAATAACAGCCCCTTCCCAAAACAAACCCCCTCCTTCCTTGCTTGGGGACCAGACTGCCTTTGTAAACTAACAAAATAGAAATTATGACTCAGGAGTCATGCAGCCAGAGGCCACCTCCCCAATTCTCCTATAGATAACATCACTATTGTAAAACCTAAGATTGGTATTTGAGGTATTTTTCCGACTCTGCATTCTGATGCAGAGTGCAGCTGGCACTACCCAAATTGATAAACTGGCTCATCTGGTCTTGTGACCCCCACCCAGGAACTGACTCAGCTCAAGAGGACAGCTTTGACTCTCTGATTTCACCCTCCACCCAACCAATTGGCATTCCCCATTCCCTAGCACCCCGCCTGCCAAGCTATCCTTAAAAAAATCCTAGCCTCCAAATTTTCGGAGAGGCTAATATGAGTAATAATAAATTCCTATCCTTCCGCTTAGTGAGCTCTGCATTTATTAAACTCTCTGTTGTGAAAACTTGCTGTTCTCAGTGCCCCGGCTTTTCTGGGCAGTGGGTCAGATGAACCCATTGGGTGATGACATTATGACTAGGTTATACTCATTGTGGCTAGACTATACTCATTCCTTCAAAGATCATAAGGAGTCCCAATGGTAAGAGGAAAATTTTCTTTGTTCTCTACCATCTCCTCCCAGCCTCTGTGCTGATTTAAAAAACAAAACAAACAACAACAACTAAAAACAATGCAGTCACTTCCACCAAAGAAAAAAAGGTAAAGGGGTTGTGTTTGGAGGTGTCAGAACAGGGAACAGGAGGGGTCAGGGATTAGGCAGGAAAGTTGACCATCTTACTAGGCTGGGACCAAGGAGGGATGGGGAGGGGATCTGGGCTGCCAGAGCATCTGAAGGCTGGAAATTGGGGCAGGGGAAGGTGAGGGAATTCCCACCCATCTCCATACTGAGAGTCACTTGGATTTCCAATAAAGGGCAGGGACCCCATGGTAACCTGGATGTTCTGGGCTGGCTGAGTGTGGGGGTGGGGGTTGCGGGGGATGGTGGAGTAGGACCTGTGAGTGTCAGACCCGATTAGAAGTTAGAAGAAAACATGCTCGCAAGGGTAATGTCAGCATTGTGCAGAATTCTCTCTCTCTCTGTCTCTTTAAAATACAGACACACACATACATACACACACACACACACACACACACACACTCCTCACAAAATTAAGAGACAATGCTGGAGTTTTAGAAATGTAGTCTCTTGGGCTTCACTGCAGACCTACTGGATCAGTATCTGTATTTTAATAAGACCCCCCATTTTATTCATATGCATGTTAAAGTTTGAGAAGCACTCCTCTGGCATGGTTTAAATTCTTCAAATACTAAGGTTTGCCTGCTTACAGAGGTTGATAGAACCCAGAGCAATTAGTGTCAAATACTTTTAATTTTGTATATGAACAAAGATACAGTTTAAAATGTGTACCTTAATGTTTTCAGTGGGGGGATAAGCATTTTAATGAAATAATCAGATTAGGCATATTAATATGGTCACATATGTTTACAAGATGTAGAAAGTTCTCCTTATGTATTAAAAAGAGACAACTGTAAAAAAAAAATAACAATGCAAAGTGTATCCACATTCTTCAAATTAGATAGGAAGAAAAGAAAAGAAAGATACAATGTGTCCCTTCCTCCCTTCCTTCCTTTTCTTCTGAACCCTTCCCCACTCCCCAACACATGCTCCTGGTTATTTACATACATGACCTCCTTGTACTCCTATGTTGGTCTTCTTAAGCCAGAGAAGCAAGAAAGTATAAATAAATAAAGTAGAAAATAAATAAACAAACTAAGAAAGCTTCAAATAGAGGGCGTCTGTCCCAGAAACCTTCGGTGGCTCTGAACTGTAGAAATCACTGATCAGAGACACTGAGACACGTGGCCATGGGACTTTGCAGGATATACCCAAGGACAGGTGGCTGTGGCTTCCAGAGGCTCTGTTGTACAGTGGGTGTAATCAATACAGCAAAGGCTTTAGAGGCTGACAGACCTATGTTTGAATCGTGTCTCTACCATGCGTTAGCTGTGTGCTCTTGGACATGTCGCTTGGTGTTTCTGAGTCTCAATTCTCTCAAACATAAAATGAGGAAATAATAAGGGATAATAGTACTTACCTTATAGAGTTGTGAGAATTTGGGGAGGTAATGTAGGTAAAGCACTCACCCCAGGCCAGTGTTTAACAAAAGTGAGTTCCCTTCCTCTCCAGGGGAATTCTTCATCCAGGACTTTGTAGATTATAGTTTCTAACAGACTCCTGGGAGGAATCATGGCCAAGGCCTTTACTCTGGGGCCTTGAGCCACTCTCTTTTCTCCTGATTTGGGGAGGAGTCCTCCCCATCTTTCTTAATAAGTCTCAGAGAAGAAAGAGATGGAGAGGACAACAACTTTTTAAAGGCTGGCGTATTGGTCCCCTCCTTTTTACCTTCCAATTAAAGGAAAGAAGACTGGCAGAGAGAGGGAAGCTGGGTCAGGACTTATCATCATGGCTGGGGCAATCACCCCTAACATCTGTCCGGGAATTTTAATGTTTCAGAGTTTTACCACATCTCTGATTTCCCTTTATCCCTAGAAGCACCTCCAAGGATCACGTAGGACCAGCAGAAGCAGCGTAAAGTATTGGAACTTTGAATCTGACATCAGAAAGACCTGCACTCAGCCGGGCACGGTGGCTCACGATTGTAATCCCAGGCCGAGGCGGTGGATCACTTGAGGTCAGGAGTTGGAGACCAGCCTAGCCAACATGGTGAAACCCTGTCTCTACTAAAAATAGAAAAATTAGGCAGGCGTAGTGGTGCATGCCTGTAGTCCCAGCTACTCAGGAGGCTGAGCCAGGAGAATCACTTGAACCCAGGAGGCAAAGGTTGCAGTGAGCTGAAATTGCATCACTGCACTCCAGCATGGGTGACAGAGTAAGTGAGACTCTGTCTCAAACAAACACAAAAAGAGCTGTACTTAAATTCTAGCTTTTCTACTTACCTTAACAGATGTATGTCTTCAGGCAAATTATTTAACTTTTCTGAGTCTCCTTTTCACATTTAGAAGTAGGAGACTTTCACAGTGTCATATTTTCACCCCCATCAATATTATTGATGCTTGCTCATTTTCTAATGTGGGACCTGAAATTTACCAGGTGCTTAAAGAATCTTTTTGTTTTTCAGATTCACTGATTCTAGGTAAATCAGAGGAACAAGCAACATGAACAGAAAAAATGTAGAAAATGCAATTATGCTGAAGTACAATTGTTGTTTCAGAAGTCCAGCATCTGGTGTACTTAACAATAGAGAATATATTAAATTTTTCCAAAATAAAAAAAACAAGTAGGAGACTCGCTAGTGAAAATTAAATGGCATATGCAAAGTCTTTAATACAGCATTTGGTACATGAGAGGGACTCAGTAAATTTTAGTAACTTATAATTATTAGGAAGACTATGACTGCCCCCATTTAAAAGATCAGCAGTCTGAGGCTTATAAAGACCAAGACTTATTCAAGTCTTGTGATTTCCAGCCTGAGGCTCTTTCTACTTTGTGAAAACTGAGAGACTGTGGCTCAGTGGCTCTGAGCTCAGAGGGCTTTACCTGCCAAAGGTCCAGGCTGAGAACACTAATGTTATAATAGTGACAAATGGTGGCGTCAGGCTTATATTTAGGGTTGTCTATTTTGGGATGAATCTACTCCCCCTGGTAATTGGGATTTTCAATGATCCAAGGTTTCCATTCTCCCTAAGCAAAGAACCAGTGAACAAGGCATTAGTATTTTGTCATTCTTCTGATCTCATGCAATCAGAAAGGCCAATTGATATGGTTTGGATCTGTGTCCCCACCCAAATCTCATGTCAAATTGTAATCCCCAGTGTTGGAGGTGAGGCCTGGTGGGAGGTGATTGGATCATGGGGGCAGAGTTCTCATAAATGGTTTAGCACGATCCCCCCTTGGTACTGCATAGTGAGTGAGTTATCATGATATCTGGTTACTTTTAAATTGTGTAGCACCTCCCCCCTTTCTCTCTTGCTCCTGCTCCCACCGTGTGAGAAACCCTGCCATCACTTTCCGCCATCACAGTGGACACCTGAGGCCTCCCCAGAAGCTGATGCTGCCATGCTTTCTGTATAGCTATAGCCTGCAGACCCATGAGCCAATTAAGCCTCTTTTCTTTATAAATTACCCAGTCTCAGGTATTTCTTTATAGCAATGCAAGAATGGACTAATACACCAATTGATTTATGAGGCAGTTGTGTATTAGACATAAGGATTCAGAGAAGGATTCCAGGAGCTTCTTTCCCTTTCTTTGAGTTAATGCACAAGATTCTTTCAAATTCCCCTTGCTACCCAGAGGAAGCCAAGCGAGGTGGCAGGGACCCATTCTGAGCTTGGCCCCATGTCTGCACCAGCTCATTCATGAAATAAAGAAAATGTAGCTTCTCAGAGAATATCATCTGAGTATCCTGGCAGTTGAGGCCGTTCTCTTCCTGGTGTGTAGTGTAGGAAACTGTGGCCAAATAAAATCATGCTTGCTTCAGTCAGTTTTACCTCTGGACAATTTGACACTGATTCCTTTCGTTCTTCTTGCTTCTAACATGAGGTCAGGAGTTAGCTCTTAAAAATAAGTGTCCCTTGGCTGGGTGCAGTGGTTCACTCCTGTAATCCTAGCACTTTGGGAGGCAAAGGCAGGCGGATCGCTTGAGGTCAGGAATTCAAAACCAGCCTGGCCAATAGAGTGAAACCGCGTCTCTACTGCAAATACAAAAAATTAGCCAGGCGTGGTGGCACGTGCCTGTAGTCCCAGCTACTCGGGAGGCTGAGGCATGAGAATCTCTTGAGCCCAGGAGGTGGAGGTTGCAGTAAGCCGAGATCACGTCACTGCACTGCAGCCTGGGTGACAGAGCAACGCTCTGTCTCAAAATAAATGAATAAATAAATAAAATAAAAAGTGTCCCTACCCCTTGCATTTTTGGCTCATTCATGGACACCCTTTCTCCTTCTGGCCTGTTTCTAAGACTTCCAGTTCCTGACCCCAAACCCATGTCCTATTTTGACCACATTCCTGTGACTGGCTGCTTTCCACCACTCTGGACAAACTCCAGGCCCAGGGCTGCCTGGCCCTATACCTGTCAAAGTTGGCCTTTACCAGCCCACCCCGTCCAACGTAGGCATAGCCCTGTGAGCAGGGCTCAGATGAGGGTACAGTCTTATTTGCGGGGTTTAGGGGAAGGGAAGATGACCACAGGATCTCAGAATTTCTGTTTCATCAATTAGCGTTGACATGTCTTTTGTCTCATTTCTCACACCCATTGGAAAGAGAGACCCCCCTCACCTTATACTTCGGATTTGGCATCAGAGGCCTTTCCCACTCCCCATCCATAGCCTCCTTCCAGTTATCTGGCTTCTTGGCTTCTGGATCCAGGATGTATTCAAAGTCTTCCCAGTACTAAAATGAAATGTTCCTTCATGAGGATAGATGCGTAGGCTGAGAAAAAACTGGGGTCCAGGCTGGGCGTGGTGGCTCACATCTATAATCCTAGCACTTTGGAGGCCAACGTGGGAGGACTGCTTGAGCCCAGGAGTTCAAGACCGGCCTGGGCAATATAGTGAGACCCCATCCCTACCCCAAAGAACTTTAAAAATTAGGCAAGTGTGGTGGCATGCACCTGGTGGGAGGATCTGAGCCCAGGAGGCAGAGGTCACAGTGAGCCATGATCATGCCATTGCACTCTAGCCTGGGTGACAGAGCGAGATCATCTCAAAAAAAAAAAAAAAAAAGAAAGCAAGAAAGAAAAGAGAAGAAAGGAAAAGAAAAGAAAAGAAAACGGGGGTCCAGAGTGCTGTCAGGCTGGACCTGGCTCCTTCCCTCTGCCCCCTCCCATCATCATCTATATGAAGGTCCAGCTCAGGACCTGTAAACAAATGCAGGGCAGAAAAGAAAGAGGCTTTAAGCACTTCCAATCCCTCCTCTGGGTTCACTATCATTTTGACCTTGAGTTCTTTAAGCTTAAGTAAGATGGGAATTTCCCTTGTCTCTGGCCACACCCTCCCCCACAATCATGGGCCCTTATTGTTATAATAGGTATTTTAGCCTAGGTCCCTCTTCTTGAAGGCCTCTTGGTGACCTGCTTTGTATCCCAGTATGCTCCCAGGCCTGTGTCAGTCCTTCCTTGTACCCCAGGACCCTCTGATTTCCTAAGACAGAGATCTACAAGATCAAAAACAGCCTACCCCAACTTTTATATTTCTATGCTGTGGAGCCTCCAAGGCTTTGCTCTGCCTGCCTGGCAGTTTGCTTTGGTTGTGACCATTTGTCCAGAATGACTGAAGGCTTCTATGCCAGCCCACCAAATTCACAGTCATTCAACACAATTGTGATTGGGAAAGTTCTCTGGTTCCTAGCCTGTTCTAGCCGTTTTATGATTCCTAAGACAGACAGCATCCTATCCTGGGGGCTATAGTTGTGACAGTGCCCTGTTGATTTAATCAGTTTCCATCTTCCCTTGTTCCACTCAACAGGGAGCATAGAGGCCTGCAGCCTCTCTACTCTCCCCAAGTCCTTGAGCCAAGCCAACCCTGACTACATCAGGTGCATGGTCCTCACCAGGAGGGGAGGGTCCATGTTTAGTCTTCCTACCCTAAGCCTGCCTTCTGGGCATGGCAGCAACCCAGCCCCTTATTTTTCCATGGTGCTGAAGGCCCAGACACTTTGCCTGATCATCTGCCTTAATTCCCTTACTACACCTCCCTCCACCAAGGATTGGGGCCCTTTGCTAAATCTCCCTACACGTGGCTAGGCAACTGCCCGTCTCTCTGCAGGCCTCTCTTTAGGGGCTGGACTCCAGTTACCTGGTCCCATGCTGACCCCTGCCTGACCTCAAGCATCTCTTCTGCATGACACTGACTCTGCTCTGACCTGCAGAGTAGCAATGTGGTGGGTGAGGCCCTTCCTGGCCTGGCTCCAACAGACCTTTCCAACCTTATCTCCTACCATGCCCCACCTTGAACCTTATGTTCCCCAAATACTGAACTACTGCTGTCAGTTTTTTACACACCATGTTATTTCCTAACTAACCACTGTGCCTTTGCTCCTGCTGTTCCCTGAGTCTGGAATGTCTTCCCTCCACCCCAGTTTCCCTCTTACTTTTCTCTAATAAATCTATTATTTGAAATTCAGCATATTATTAACATATAAAGGCCATACATTAAGGACTTCCTATATACCAGACACTACATTATGTATTTTTTATTAGCTCATTTAATCTTCACAGTAACCTTCACACGTAAGTATTAAAATAATACCTGTTTGTGAAGTTGACTTTCACAGCAGTTATATTCCTTGTGCAGAGTTAACTGCTAGTAGGATGGGGTCCCATAGTTAGAAAAAGGTGGTGCTCCAACCCATATCAGCCTGACCCCAGAGTTTATGTTTCCAACTCCTAGGTTAACTCACTCACTCAAGCATTTCCTTCTCTTTCTCAGACCACTGCCTACACCTCAACTCAGGCTGGGCTGGGATCCGCTTTTGGGCTCTCACTGGCTTGCCTCCCTGGCTCTCAGCACTGATCACATATTTTGATCTTTGTTTTCTTATCTGCCTCCCTTACTATATTCAGAATCCCTAGAGGGCAAGGGTTGTTCTATTCATAGCTATATCCAGTACAGCTTTCCAGAATAATAATAATGAGCCAATGAGTATACTCCACACATTCCCCATATTGATAACTTAAGAGTCAAAAAGATGTAGGTTCAAATCTTGGTTCTAACGCATGTATGCTTGGGCAAGTTACTTCATTTTCTAAGCATCAGTTTCCTTATCCACAAAAGAGGGATCATAACACATTGTTCACAGAGGCTGCTGGATCCCCAACAAAGGTGAGTGGCTGCCCTCTTCCCTCCATGCCTCTTTGGAAAACAATATCTAGCTGAACAACTCCTTGAGGGATTGATGTCCCCAGTCTCTGCTCCATCATTCCCAGCCTCCTTCTCCTATCTCCACAGCTGAGATCCCACCTGCTTCCCAGCCAAATGCCCTCTGATGTCAGGTTTCTTGTCTTCCAGATCCTCTATGTGCAGGCGTTCATCCCATTTCTTTGGTTTCTGGGCGTAGGGTCTTTTATTTTCCTGGGAGGCAAGAAGTCCCAGTCCTCCTCCAGAGCCCCAGCTGCCACCTGCTGGTTGTCAATTTTAACCTCATAAGTAGCATTGGGGCGAATAATCAGAGTGTACAGGTGAGGGTCTTTATTGATCTATAAAGGGAATGGGGAAATATTTCAGTTCCATTTTGAACATCTTTAGATCCCAAGCATTAAATGCACCAGACCCTCAGTTCCCTGAATGCCACCACCCACATAGTCACAAACAAACCTTACCACACTCTTTAACCCATTTTTCTGGTTAACCTTATATGGATTCTGGGCCTCTTCTCATAGTACACACTCCTCTGGTCTCCCTAGCCTTCATCCTTCCCTGCACTGCAGCTCTCATCATTCTCTGATCTTACCTGTCTTTCTGCCTGTCCCACTAGACTGTGAGCAGGTGTCATATATGATTTGTCTGTTGTGTCTGCAGCTTCCAGCATGAGGCCTGCCCCAGAGGAGGATCTCAGAGAGCTCCTGCATGGTACAGCCTTTACACAGTCTTGCTAAAGAAGGCCTTGGGTGTGAAACACTCATTCTCCAATGACTCCTGTGGGCTTTTCTAGGCTCGGTTCCTGCCTCTCTCCATGCTCCCACTTGCAGTGCTACTCTTTCTCAAGTCGCTGTGACTTTCCTTCTGTGATTATCTTTTCTAAGAATTCAATTCTCCCTAAAATTGTCTTATCACTTCACAAGATCAAGTCATGTTCATCTTCTGAAGTGCAGCTCAGGAGAACTCTTACCTAAGAAGTATTTCCTTAGCCTCCAGGTTGGGTAGGGGTCCTCTTCTGTGCTCCCACAGATGCCCAGCATACTAGGTAGTCACTTTGCTTGACTCTTACCTTCATTGACTGTGAGTTCTGTGAAGTCAAAGGCCATGTCTGGCCCACTCTGTCCCCAGCCTAAGGCCCAAAACAGAGTTAGTATTTGAATCCCTGTTGAGTTGCTGATGAAATCCACCTACTATCCTCTAGCCAACCTAGGTGTCTCTAACTTGATGTTACTATGATAAACTGACTACCCATCCCCATTTCTAAGTCCAACACTCCCTCCCTCCCCCATCCTCTCCCATGTCTAGCAGTGGGGAACTGGGCTATGCCAAGCATTGTTCCACAGGAGGACCTCATATAACTTCTTAGGCTTTTGGATCAACTGCTCCTTGATGAAATCCTGCAATTTACAGCATTTCTCTAGATCTACTTTTTAACCTGTAAAATGGAGATGACAGTATTTAATTTATAAGATTTTGTAAGAATTAAATGAGATAACACATATAAAATGCATCTCCTTCCCCCTTGGCTGAGGACCAGCACACACTCACCCTGCACTTGATGGTCTTGTTCTCATGGTATTTCTCTCAGTAATGAGGGATGACCTGTACTTTGTTGTTGCCAAAGCCACAAATGTCAGGGCCTGGAAATTAAACCCCAAAGCATAATTTCACATAGCTTTAAGGCAGTTTGCCTGGTCTAAGGCCAAGACCCAAGACAAACACAGCATGTGTATTAATCAGAGTCCCAGCAGGATATAGATGGCACAATCAAATTTGGGATTATTTGAGAAGGATTTAATAAAAGGACTATTTACAAAGGTTGGGGCAGGACATTGTGAAAACATAAAGTATAGTGCTATGCTCAGGGCTAGCAACAATGGGGTTCTACCCCTAGGCCTAAAGGGGCTAGAAGGAGTGCTTGCCAGAGCCTGGAAGAAAGAATCCTGTGGAAAAGACAGGCAAGAGAGAAGCTGACTTTCAGTTGAGGAACACAACTCTCTTTTCCATCTCTGATCTCCCAGGGCTCCCATTGACCAAACCCAACCAGAAACCCCTTCTGTGTCAGGCATTTTATACCATGTCATTTAATTCTTACAAGTAGGTGTTACTATCCCCCACTTTTAGCTGGGAAAATTGTGGCTCAGAACAGTTAAGCAGGTTGCTCAAAGACAAACAGCTAGTAAGTAGCATTGTTGGTATTCAAACCCAAGGCTACCTAGAAACAGAGCCTGGGGCCCTTTATGCTTTGTAAAAACTCTAGAGGGAACTCTAGAGATCATCAGTGTCTCTGAGCCCAGAAAGCCTTATCTGCCAACAGTTGGGAATAGATTTAACATAATTTTCTTTTCTTTTCTTTTTTTTGAGACGGAGTCTCAGAGTCTCACTCTGTCACCCAGGCTGTCGCCCAGGCTGGAGTGTAGTGGTGCAACCTCAGCTCACTGCAACCTCTGCTTCCCAGGTTCAAGCAATTCTGCTGCCTCAGCCTCCTGAGTACCTGGAATTACAGGCTCCCGCCACCACACCTGGCTAATTTTTCTTTTTCTCGAGACGGAGTCTTGCTCTATCAGCCAGGCTAGAGTGCAGTGGTGCAATCTCGGCTCACTACAACCTCCATCTCCCAGGTTCAAGCAATTATCCTGCCTGGTATTACAGGTGCTAGCCACCATGCCTGGCTAATGTTTGTATTTTCAGTAGAGATGGGGTTTCACCATGTTGGCCAGGATGCTCTCGAACTCCTGACCTCAAGTGATCTACCCGCCTCAGCCCCCCGCCACCCAGAGTGCTGGAATTACAGGGGTGAGCCACTGCACCCAGCCTTAACTTAATTTTCAACCTTACCTCCCATGTTACCACTCTCACTATCCAAAACACACACGTGCTTAAGTAAGATCTGGACTGCCCCAAGGAGGCCTAGTTACATATTTAGGTTACAGATACAACACTCTGGACACATTTCAGATGCTAAAAAAAGGTCACTTCCTTGACCTCCTGTGCCTTTCTCTCACTGAGGCAGAGTACAATGCCTTATTGTAGTGTACCTGTGAGAGGGTCTACGTAGCTGATGACCTCCTTCTCCTCTTCTGAGAACTGGAAAATGTCTCCCTGTGCTATAGATTTCTTAATATGGTACCATGTGCCTCCCCACCTCTGTGGTTTACTTATATTAACATTCAGGTTTAGAGTTGCTTTTTTCAGGTCTTTGAAGAGTCCTGCCACATGGAGGCGGGGTGGAGTTATCATATTAGACATTTTCTGTTCCAAGTGAATCTGAGCGTTTTCAACAACTACAGTGGCTGTCATTAGGACCTAATGGAGCTGACAGTGACTGCTATCAGAGAGCTTACCAAACATGATGTGATACTTGGATCCTGAGTGCATATCCTCCTGGTTCAGGGTGGCAGGAAAGAGTTTTACATATCCGCCACCACAATACTTCCTTTGCTTGTGTTTTACTGAAAACTGAAACACCAAGGTCTCATTCTCATTGCTGAATGCTTCAACCTGGTTGAGAAGGCATAAAACTTGGCATGTTCACTGGTTTGGAGACCTAGAAGCAGAAAGCACAGAGTCTTCAGGCTTAAATACCCAAAAAGCAGCCAGAGAGATCCAGCACTTGACCTCACCAATCTCTGGTATTTTCTTCCATACCTGTGCTGAAAGCTTTGCACACATACTTTTATTCAAGCCTCAGAGCAACCCTGCAAAATGAGTATTATCTCCACTTTACAATCAGGAGGCTGAGTCATAAGGAGGTGAGTCACCTGCCTAGGGCCACATAGCTAGCAAGGAGCCAAGCTGGAATTTTAAGCCACGTTTGTCTGATTCTTTCTGCATACCATGCTACCTCTGATTTTCAAGAGATACTTGAAGACTGTTCTACAACTTTACAAAACAAAGGCCTGTTTTTCCGAGGCTCCCCTGGGTGACCAGAATGAGGTTCTACCATACAAAAATGCTGTGGTAGAAAGAGCCCCTGCACTTTCTGGACATCTTTCTACCATAGCCTCGTAGATCAAATAGTAATCACTGCTAACATTCACTGAACACTTACTCGTTACCAATGTGTTTCATTCACATATATTACTACTGTACTTAATCTTCATAATAACCCCATGAAGTGGGTTCTCCTAATTTCTCTGCTTTATCATGAAGCCATTGAGGCTATTTCACTTGTGCAGGATCACTCAACCAGTTCATTTAATTCTAGAGCCCCCATCTTCAACTATAAGACTTTACTTCCTCCTCCAGAGAGTATCAGGGTAATAATAGATCTCAGAGCCTTTCTAGTCTAACCACATTACTTTATAGATGAGCAGACCAAGCCCCAGGGAGGAAAGGTTACTTACTCAAGATGACAGAGTCACAAATGAAATCATGCCATACAAGCAAAGTCTCCTGGCCTCCAGGCTAGTGGTCTTTCTATTATTCCATGCTGCTGCCCAGCTTACTGGTTAGGGCTCTGTTAACTCTCTGAGTCTCAGTTTCATATCAGCAAAACGTGGAGAATTATTCCTATCTCATAGGATTCCTGGTGAAGGTCAAGTGAGTAAGAGATCTGAGAAGTACTTTGTAAACTGTCAACATAAAATGTAAGGGGCTATCATTATTCGTACTTGGTGAGGTTCCTTTTTTTTTTGGAGACGGAGTCTTGCTCTGTCGCCAGGCTGGAGTGCAGTGGCATAATCTCGGCTCACTGCAACCTCCGCCTCCCAGGTTCAAATGATTCTCCTGCCTCAGCCTCCCAAGTGGCTGGGATTATAGGTTCCCGCCACCACGCCCGGCTAATTTTGTATTTTTAGTAGAGATGGGGTTTCAGCATGTTGGCCAGGCTGGTCTCGAACTCCTGACAGGCGTGAGTCACCACACCCGGCTGGGTCCTTCCTTATGATCCCACAGCTCTCTGTACTTTCCTGGGTCACACTATGTTGAAACTAGGTTTATTTCAGTCTCTTTGAATAATTTTTAGCTTCTGAAGAACAGGTGCATCTTTATATTCCCTGAATCTGGAACAGGACCTGACATAGAAGAAAGACTCAATAAGTATGTGTTAAATTACACAGAAGAATCACAGGTCCTGATTCAGACATCTCAAGAGCACTTATTGTACACCAGGCTCTGTGGTAAACACTTTCATGTCTGACATTATGTTAGGAGTTGTCTACATTTTAAATAATATGCTTGGCCTGGCATGGTGGTTCATGCCTCTAATCCCAGTACTTTAGTATGTCAGGGCAGGAGGACTGCTTGAGGCCAGGAGTTTAAGACCAGCATGGGCAACATAATGAGACCTTGTCTTTGCAAAAAAAATTAAAAATTAGTTGGGGATGGTGGTACATGCCTGTAGTCCCAGCTACTCCAGAGGCTGAGGTGGGAGAAGCATTTGGGCCCAGGAGTTTGAGGCTGCAGTGAGCTACGATCACACCATTGCACTCCAGCCTGGGTGACAGAGCAAGACCCTGTCTTAATCAAAACAAAACAAAATTGAACAAAGTATGCTTACTTCCCCAAAGACCCCAAGAACAGCTAGAGTAACCAGGGAAGACTTCACGGAGGAGGGCGTGTGCACAAGGCAAAGAGCACCGAACCTGCAGGCAAGACCAAGTTTTGAGTCTCTATTCTGCCAAACCCTACTTCGTAGCTCAATTCCACCTGCCTTCTCTCTGAGCCTCTTTTGTAACCCAGGACTCTTCTAAAGAACTAGGAGGAATCCAATGAACCTGAGTGGGATACAATGTGAGGGACAACAACCAAGAAACCACACTGAGAGGAGATGAGTGGCTGAGCAGACTACCCTCACTGGCATCACCAAGGCACAGCTTCCCGTGGGTCACACCGTCTCCAATTTCTCTCTACTCTGGAAATGGTTTTCCCTTTAATACCGTTTAATACTCTGGGAACAGTTTTCCAGAGTGGATTTAAAATTTAAGATTCTCAAGCCAGTTCATAATTCTCTCCTTTAATCAATATGAAAATGAGATTCATAACAGTAGCCAGGAGGAAGAAGATAGGAAATCACTTCAGGGAAAGATCAATGAATTCTACTTAGCGGACAAAAGCTTTCTCAGACAAAAAACCCAATCCTGCAGAACTTGTGCTCAGAGCTCACCCTTCCTCCACAATGTTATTTGGCTCTTAACAAAAGCCCTGTCTAATGAGCATGGCAGGCAATGGTTATTATCTCCATCTAGTATTGAAGCTCAGAGAAATAAGAATTGCCGAAATTATGCAGCTAGTAAGTCATGGGAGTTAGCCCTAGGTCTGTCTGCTCCTCTCTCCGTCACACTAAGCTCCTCTAGGGAAGAAGAACATTTGGATGTTATACAGTGTCTTCCCCTGTTTCAAGTGCAGCGTGCTATTTTTAAAATCCTAGGGGGTTGGGGAAAGCAGCATAGTCCAGCAGTAATGAATATAGTCCCTACAGTCAGATCCAGAATCAGATTCTACCTCTTGCCAGCTGTGTATATAGCCTTGGGCAAATAACCTCTCTGAGGCTCCTCTGAAAAACTGGGAAAGTAATAGTAATCACATATTAAAGTTGTTAGGAAGACTAACGGGGATTTGTGGAAGGGCTTAGTTTTGAACTCCTGTTATTCAATGAATGGACATATTATATTTGTGGAGAGTTCATTCTTTTCCATCTGCTAATTTTTTTAGTATATGTGCTGCCAAAGTGAGCACTCCATCTACTAATTTTTTATTTTAGGAAAGAGAAATGAATTGGGTGGGCCAGGCGCAGTGGCACTCACACCTGTAATCCCAGCAATGCGGGAGGCTGAGGTGAGCGGATCACCTGAGATGAGGAGTTTGAGACCAGTCTGACTAACATGGTGAAATCCTGTCTCTACTAAAAATACAAAAATTAGCTGGGTGTGATGGCACATGCCTGTAGTCCCAGCTACTTGGGAGGCTGAGGCCAGAGAATCGCTTGAACCAGGGAGGCAGAGGTTGCAGTGAGCCAAGATTGTGCCACTACACTCCAGCCTGGGTGACAGAGTGAGACTCCATCTCCAAAAAAAAAAAAAAGGTCGGGTGCAGTGGCTCACACCTATAATCCCAACACTTTGGGAGGCAGAGGCAGACAGATCACCTGAGGTTGGGAGTTTGAGATGAGCCTGACCAACATAGTGAAACTCTGTCTCTACTAAAAATACAAAATTAGCCGGGCATGGTAGTGCATGCCTGTAATCCCAGCTACTTGGGAGGCTGAGGCAGGAGAATCACTTGAACCTGGGAGGCCGAGGTTGTGGTGAGCCGAGATTGTACCATTGCACTTCAGCCTGGGAAACAAGCATGAAACTCCATCTCAAAAAAAAAAAAAAAAAAAAAAAAAGGCCAGGCACGGTGGTTCACACCTGTAATCCCAGCATTTTGGGAGGCTAAGGCGGGCAGATCACAAGGTCAAGAGATGGAGACCATCCTGGCCAACATGGTGAGACCCCGTCTCTACTAAAAATATAAACATTAGCTGAGCAGGGTGGCGTGAGCCTTTAGTCCCAACTCCTCAGGAGGCTGAGGCAGGAGAATCGCTTGAACCCGGGAGGCGGAGGTTGCAGTGAGCCGAGATTGCACCATTGCACTCCAGTCTGAGCGACAGAGTGAGACTCCATCTCAAAAAAAAAAAAAAAAGGAAATGAATTTGGTGACTGGGTGATATCACAGACAAAAACAGTTGTATAAAAGTCAGAATTTTCCCAATTAGTATATTAATATACAATAATTATATGTGCTAATACTGAGTTCCAGTATTTACCTTTATCTTTTTCTTTGTCTCCATAAAATTATCCTGCAGCGAGCTGAAATTTACCATAATCCGGCTGATGTTTAGACTGCACCCATCGTTTTTTCCATTCATCTATGAGTAAAGGAGAAAAAAAGAACGTAAAGACAAAATGCAGCTAATACTGACCAAGACTTACAGGAACGGTAAAGGTATGTCAAGGGATGACTCTGATATTCCTGAAATTCCTTTCATTGTCCAATTGTCTGAATCCCACTATTTGTGTATTATCATGTGGAGTGGCTTGAATACCAAGTAGTTGAGGCACTTCTACTTTAATATCCTACTTCACCCTCCTCCATGACAATTAAGAGCTGAAAATCACCATGGGAATGTATGGTTGAAAGGCATGAAACAGGCCGGGCGCGGTGGCTCATGCCTGTAATCCCAACACTTTAGGAGGCCAACGTGGGCAGATCACAAGGTCAGGAGTTCGAGACCAGCCTGGCCAATATGGTGAAACCCTGTCTCTACTAAAAATATAAAAAATTAGCCAGGCGCGGTGGCGGATGCCTGTAGTCCCAGCTACTCAGGAGGCTGAGGCAGAAGAATCGCTTGAACCCAGGAGGCAGAGGTTGCAGTGAGCCGAGAATGCACCATTGCACTCCAGCCTGTGCGACAGAGCGAGACTCTGTATCAAAAAAAAAATAATAATAAAGGAAATGAATTTGGTGGTTGGGTGATCATAGACAAAAACAAAAACAAAAGAAAGGCATGAAACATTTATTCTCATAAAAGTAGATGGAAAAATGTGCTTAGAGGGACTCATCCCTTACACATATTTATGTTTAGTAAAATAATAAAATCAGCTCACCAAGTAAAGAGATTAGCAACAACATTTTATACCTTCTTGAATTAGTAATGATGACAATGAGCAATCAATTTCCATTTACCCTGTTCTGTTTCTTAAACTTTTTAATCTCTTTCTTGTAGTTTCAAGGAGATGCTGATAAATTTGTTTTGCTTTGGCATGGATGGCATGTAGACAAAGAGGCATTCTTCTTGGGTCTTGGCACTCCAACCAAATGTTCAGTGCCTTTCTGATTTTATGCTTCAGAGTTGCTGACTCCCATTTCCTGGGCCCACTATGGGTCCCAGAGTCACAGGGCAATTTGGCAGCTTGAGCTGGAAGAGGCCTTCAGGGTAAACTTTATTTGATCTTCTCCTTGTAGTTCAATGGATAGTTCTCTACTCCCACTCCCCAATATCTAGGTTTTGTTTGTTTGTTTCATTTTTTTGAGACGGAGTCTTGCTCTGTCTCCCAGGCTGGAGTGCAGTGGCCTGATCTCGGCTCACTGCAACCTCAGCCTCCTAGGTTCAAGGGATTCTCCTGCCTTAGACTCCTGAGTAGCTGGGATTACAGGTGCCCGCCACCTCACCCGGCTAATTTTTTTTTTTTTTTGTATTTTTAGTAGAGATGCGGTTTCACCATGTTGGTCGGTCTGGTTTCGAATTCCTGACCTCAAGTGATCCGCCTGCCTCGGCCTCCCAAAGTGCTAGGATTACAGGCGTGAGCCACCGTGCCCAGCCCCCAATACCTAGGTTTATTACCTTATCTCTACCTATGAATATCCCACATCAACACACATCCAGTAAGACCACCCTGAGCTGGCTCTGTCAGCTCCTATTACTCACGTCTGATGACTCAACTGTTTCCCCTTATGAGACCCAGGGGACTTGAGCTTGCTTTTGAAAGAGTTAAGAACATGGCACTCCAAAATATGCTGCTCTTCCATATCGACTATTTTGAATTAAAGGCACTTATAAAACAGCAAGTGCAAGAAGATCACTCTGACCTTCATTCTGTTTCTGAAAAGCAGGGGATAAAATCCCCACATGAAAGATGTCTTCCCTATACCAAAAGGAAAGTAACATTTTTATTATCAAAGACAGGAAGTTGAAGCCAAAGGAAATCTATATAAACAAACTTTGTTAAACTAACCCTTATCTCCCTCATCACTTCTCTACCTAATTATCCTGGCCCAAGCCCCTTTCCCTTACCACATTTCACAACTTACTATTCTTTGCCCATTCACCACATAAGTAATTGACTCTAACTGCTTCTATAGGTCTTCATTTCCTTAGGAGGGCTCCCATGTCACATAAAACTTACATTAAATACATTTCTATGCTTTTCTCCTGTTAATCTGTCTGATGTCAATTTAATTTTCAGGCCCAGCTGAAAAAATTCTAAAAGGGAAGAGGTTTTACCTCCTCAACACTTTCTGTGGTCTCCCCGTCTCTTTCAAGGTCATGGTAATTAGACAGGTCTTGGTGACCACCTCTGTCACTCCCTCCTGAGGGAGGGGCCTCAGAGCTTCTTTGTGCCTTAACTTGCTGTGGCTTGAATGAAGTGGATCCTGCTTCTCTGACCATCATCGACCCAGTGAAGGATAAGGGTAGATGCCAAGGCAAAAAGATGTGTTATGTATTAGGCCCTCATGGGGCTCCCTAAAAACTTCACCTTATTCATGCTCATGGACAATGCTGTGAGATAGGTTTTTTGTTGGTTGTTTTTGCTTTCTGTTTTTAGGGTTTTTTTGGGTTTTTTTGTTTGTTTGTTTTGGGACAGGGTCTTGCTCTGTCGCCCAGGTTGCAGTGCAGTGGCATGATCATGGCTCACTGCAGCCTCAATCTCCTGGGCTCAAGCAATCCTCCCAACTCAGCCTCCTAAGCAGCTGGGACCACAAGCATGCCACTACACCTGGCTAATTTTTTGATTCTTTGTTGAAATTAGGATCTCACTATGTTAGCCAGGCTGGTCTCAAACTCCTGGGCTCAAGCGATCCTACTTCCTTGGCCTCCCAAAGTATTGGGATTACAGGCATAAGCCACCAGGCCTGGTTAGATAGGCATTTTTAAATTCCATTTTGCATCTTGTAAGTGGTAGACCTGAGATTTGAACCCAAATCTGATTTCAAAACTGTCTGATATAGTTTGAATGTATGTCCCCACCAAACCTCATGTTGAATTGTAATTTCCAATGTTGGAGGTGGGGCATGGTGGGAGGTGTTTGGATCGTGGGGAGAATCCTTCATGAATAGCTTGGGGTATCCTCTTGGTGATCAGTGAGCTCTTGCTCTGAGTTTGCTCTGAGATCTGGTGGTTTAAAAGTGTGTGGCACCTCCCCTTCCTACTCTCTCTGTCTCCTTCCTGTTTTCACCATGTGACGTACCTGCTCCCTCTTCACTTTCCGCCATGATTATAAGCTTCCTGAGGCCTCCCTAGAAGCTGAGCAGATGGCAGAACCATGCTTCCTGTAAATCCTGCAGAATCGTGAGCCAATTAAGCCTCGTTTCTTTATAAATTACCCCGTCTCAGGCATTTCTCTTTTTCTTTTCTTTTTTTTTTTTTTTTTTTTGACGAAGTCTTGCTCTGGCCCAGGCTGGAATGCAGTGGCATGATCTCGGCTCACTGCAACCAACGCCTCTGGTTCAAGCGTGCCACCACGCCCGGCTAATTCTTTGTATTTTTAGTAGAGACAGGGTTTCATCGTGTTAGCCAGGATGGTCTCCGTCTCCTGACCTCGTGATCCACCCACCTAGGCCTCCCAAAGTGCTGGGATTACAGGCGTGAGCCACCACTCCCGGCCCTAGTCTCAGGCATTTCTTTATAGCAATGCAAGAATGGCGTAATACATTGTCTTTTCTCTGAAAGAAGAAAGAAAAAGTGCTATGTAGAAAAAATGTGTGTAATAACCATAGCTACTGTTTAGAACTGTATGTCAGGCATTGTGCTGAGTACTTTCATGCATCATCTCATTGCATTCTCTTAACAGCCCTGTGATGAATGTCCTGTTTTTTCCTCATTCAAAAGATAGAGAAACAGAAGCTCAGAATCTTGCCCAAAAGCCCAGTTGTAAGTAAGTGGGTAAGCCAGGCTCAGACCCGGTTCTAGGTAACACCAAAATCTGTACTTTTAACTTCTTTATATGACTTCCCATGAAATCACGTGTGAGAAAAGCCCTTTATAACCCGAAAAGTGTGCCACAAATTTAAGAGTCAATCATAGCACTTCACGGTCTGTAATTAATAGTTTGTGTATAATTTGAGTAATGTCTGTCTTCCCTACCAGACTAGTAAAATCTATAACTATTCTGCTGACCGTTGTGTGCCAGTATTTAGCACAGAGTAATAACGAAAAATATTTGTGAATAACTGAATGGATGCATGATCATGTCTTTTGCCTAAGCCATAAGATTCTTAGCCTTACTAATGGATTGACTCTTTTATTCTCCATTTGACAAATGTTAATTGATTCTAAAAAGCTTGTAGAAATAGTTGTATAACTTTGGCCTTGAACTTTATGGTAGAAGAGGTTAGAATAGAACTCAAAACTTCTCAGTGCTAATTATTTTTCTGGGTGAACAGTATCAATACAAATGAAACCTGACACAATTTAGGGTGTCTCAAAACAAGGAGGCTCTCTTTTTGTTAGGAGAATAATATCATATGATTAATGAAGTCCCTTTAACTTTTCACATTTTTTCTCTTAACATCATAACATCATGAAAGGCTCAAGCCAGAATGACCCTTTAGTGGTCATTTAATCTGACTTCCTCATATTAGAGGTAGGGAAACTGAAACCCAGAGAAGGAAGTGACTTGCCCATGCACACAGACTTGTCAGTTACAGATCTGAGACTAGAACCCAGTTCTTCTGCACCCTTGTTTTGGGCTCATTAATTCCTTTCTTCAAGAAACGCTTATTGAGCATCACTCTGTGCCAGGTATCAGGTGCACAGAAATGAGAATCTGACAAAGTCCTTTCAGGGACCTGTGAGCTTTAGGGAGTTCATAATCTGGTGAAAGAGACGGATAAGTAAACAAACAGTAAACAAGTAAACAGACAAGTCAAACAACAGTGTGGTAAGGGTAGTGATAGAAAGCACAGGGCAATAAAATTCAGAAAAACACTGACTGCTCCTCAGGGTCAAGGCAGACTTCAGAGAAGGCATGCCTGAATGTCACATGAACTTATCTCTGTATCTGTACTTCCCAGAGTGTCTGGCTTGTGATGTAGCTCAAATCAAAAGACCTGGCTAGGGACTCGTTTCTGCCACCACCTTCAGCAGAATTTTTTTTTTTTTTTTTTTAGATGGATTCTCACTCTGTTGCCCAGGCTGGAGTGCAGTGGTCCAATTTCAGCTCACTGCAGCCTCTTCAGCAGAATCTTGACCCTCTCTGAGATTCAGTTTTTTCATCTGTAGAAATGGGGACCTAAGGTACAGAGTTTCTTCTGGGAGAATTAAGTGAAACTGCATGCAACACCATGTTAGGCACACTAGAAGTGATCAATAAATACTACTTGAGTATTTGTGTGCATATGTAATCTGTGCGTATGTGTATATGTATACAAAGATATACATAGGTAAAGAGATGTAAATATTTTTAGATTTGAAGGTAAAAGTTGTGCTTTCTGGGCACCTAGTCCTTAGCCTCAGACAGATTAGATCCATTAGAAATGCTTATTTAGATAAAAATATGTATTTGCTGCCTTTATTCCACATAATCAGATTGTATTCTTCAAAAGAGAATTTGCTAGATACGTTAAAGCTTATCTCTTCAGGTGCCAACATGTTGTCTACATTTTCAATGAGAAATTTTTCTAGACATAATAAAAGACCCTGACCTCTAATATATAGAATCCTAAACAAAATTTGTACTTTCCCAGAAGTTTGAGACCAGCCTGGGCAATATGGCAAAACCTCGTCTCTACAAAAAATAGAAAAATTAGCCAGGCATGGTGGTGCATGCCTGTAGTCCCAGCTACCTTGAGGTGGGAGGGTCACCTGAGCCCAGAGAGGTCAAGGCTGCAGTGAGCCATGATTGTGCCACTGCACTCCAGCCTGGGCGACAGAGTGAGACTCTGTCTCAAAATAATAATAATAATAATAATAATAATAATAATTTAAACGTTCTTGAAGACTCAAGGCCTGTTTTAGGCTGTAATGTACAGCAGAGGTTTGGGTCTGGTTTTGTAGTGTTTCTGTCTCCACCGTCCTTGTTCTGCTGTGAGCACTCACTTCTCTCTGAGATCCATGTTTGCCTCTAGCAATCCAACTGATTCTCATGAGACCAGTAGACCTACATCCCTGCTTACCTGACTGCCAATTTACCTGCCTACTGCCTTTTCTTTCTTTCTGCCTGCCAGTCTACCTGTATGTCTGCCACACAGACCATAATAATTCAAATATTTATCAACTGTTAAAAAGCCTTGTGGGGTGGTGAACAGCATGAGATAAGAATCTCAGCCTTTCCACCGATTTCTGTATATAACCTGAGTGAATCACTTTTCTGAATCTGTGTTCTCATTTATAAATAAGGATTATATTTAAACTCTTTAAAGAAAGGAATTCTGTGCAGATAGTAGGTGCTCAATAAATGTTTGTGGAATAACAGATTGGCATGAGGGCCAAATTAATTAAGACAATAATGTAACTATTGCTGCTGTCATTGAATGAGAGCCTTTAGCAGGTCCTCTATTTATCTTGGAGGCTGTCATTTCTAATCAGCTATACCCTAGAAAGCAGGCCAAATTTGCTAAAAAAGTGTGCCTTAAATAAGAGACTCTATGCTCAAAGCAGAAAAGAATATAGGCTTTTCACTTAAATATTTACAGAGAACCTATGCTGTGCCAGTCTGAGTGCTAGATGCCAGGGTGCTAAAGTGAGCAAGACAATTCCTCAAGCCCTTAAGTCTTCAAGGAATTCACAATCTAATGGGAGAGGCAGGCAAATAAATTATCTGCTTTTCTTATTTTATATTTCTTCATTTTTCAACGTAAAATAATTTATTGTAGAAAATCTGGAAAGCCTAAAAGAAGCAAATAGGCAGTAAAAACATCCATGATACCTACCGCTCAGAGATGACCATTGTTAACATTTTGATATACTGTATTTCCTTCTAGCCATTATATATATATATATATATATATATATATATATATATATATATATATATATATATATATATAACTTTTTTGAAACAGAGTCTTGCTCTGTTGCCCAGGCTGGAGTGCAGTGGCATGACCTTTACTCACTGCAACCTTGTCTGTCAGGTTCAGGTGATCCTCCTACCTCAGGCACGTGCCACCATACTGGCTAATTTTTGTATTTTTTTTTTTTATAGAGATGGGGTTTCACCATGTTGCCCAGGTTGGCCTCAAACTCCTGGGCTTGAGCAATCTGCCTGCCTTGGCCTCCCAAACTGCTGGGATTACAAGGTGAGCCACTGCTCCTGGCCAGAATGTCTTTCTACTGGAATTGGTCTGATGTTTTTCTCTTGGTTAGATAGAGGTTATAGGTTTTGGGGAAGAAGACCACAGAGGTAAACGGCCATTCTCATCCCATCATATTAATGGTGCATGCCATTAACATGACTTATCACTGATGGTGTTAACACCAATCACCTGACTGAGGCGGTATGTATCAGGTTTCTCCATTGCAAAGTTACTCTTTTTTCCCCCTTCTTTCCATACTGCACTCTTTAAAAGAAAGTCAATATGTACAGTCCACACTTAAGCAGTGGGGAGATATGCTCCACCTCTTTGAGGGCAGAGTATTTACATAAATTATTTGGAATTCTTCTGTACAGGAGATTTGTCTATTTGTCCCTGTTTATTTACTCAGTCATTTCTTTATACCCGTATGGACTCATGGATATTTATTTTATACCTTATTATTATTTTTTTTAGAGATAGGGTCTCACCCTGTCACCCAGGCTGGAGTGCAGTGGCACAATCATAGTTCAGTATAGCCTTGAACTCCTAGGCTCAAGGGATCCTCCCACCTCAGCTTCCTGAGTAGCTGGGCATGTGCCACCACAACTGGCTTTTTGTTGCTCAAATGTCGTTAGCCATTGGGAGCTCTTTCAGTTGTCTCCTATGTCCCTTTGACACACCCCCATCATTGTGATTTTTGAACACTTCCTTACTTTCTAGAACTATACGACGCTCAAGGCTCATCTTGTATGTTCTCTTCTTCAGCCCTAGATCAGCCATTTCTCTAAGGAGGCCTAGTTCCTTTTATTGGACAATGGTATTATAAACCATGATATGGGCTCTGGTGTCATTTACTTTTTAAAAGTAAATGTTTTAATTGGAGTATAACATTTATTCAGATTTATTCAGATAACATTTATTCAAACCATAAGTGTATAGTTTAACGAAATTTTAAGAAGAGAAATTTAAGGCAAATTTTCCAGGTACCTGGAATTATAATTGTTAACTGATGTATTAATTCCAAAGTCTCACTGCATCCAACTCATGCATCCCCTTCCATACCTTCAAAACAAAATTACCAAAAGGAAGTGGTCACATCTGACAAGAGAAGAAGGAGCAGCTTCAACAGTCTTTTATTTTCTTTTGAGACAAAGTCTCGCTCTGTTACCCAGGCTGGAGTGCAGTGGTGTGATCCTGGCTAACTGCAACCTCCACCTCCTGGGTTCAAGCAATTCTCCTGCCTCAGCCTCCCGATTAGCTGGGATTACAGGCACGCACCACCATGCATGGCTAATTTTTTTGTATTTTTAGTAGAGACGGGGTTTCACCATGTTGGCCAGGCTGGTTTCAAACTCCTGACCTCAAGTGATCCACTCACTTCGGCCTCCCAAAGTGCTAGGATTACAGGTGTGAGCAACCACACCTGGCCAACAGTCTTTTCAATAGATTTCCTTCCTGCCTCCCTCCTTCTCTACACTCACTTGTTTATTAAGGGTTTATTATGTGTCAGGCAGTGAACAAAATCAATCCCTTCCTGCATGGAATTTATATCCCAATTGGCAGGTAAGATGACAAACTTTAAAGAAAATAACATATCAAAGGGCCGGGTGCAGTGGCTCATACCTGTAATCCTAGCACTTTGGGAGGCTGAGGCGGGCAGGCAGATCACTTGAGCTCAGGAGTTCGAGACAAGCCCAGGCAACATGGTGAAATTCCATCTCTACAAGAAATACAAAAGTAGTAGCCAGGTGTGGTGGCAGGTGCTGTAGTCCCAGCTACTTTGGGGACTGGGGTGGGAGGATCGTTTGAGCCCAGGAGGTTGAGGCTGCAGTGAGCTGAGATCGCACCACTGCACTCCAGCCTGGGTGACAAAGTGAGACTCTGTTTCAAAAAAAGAAAAAAATATATAAATATATAATATAATATCAGGCAATAATAATTATGTGGGGAAAATTAAACGTAGTAGGGTGTTATTTAACATATGGTGGCTAGCCTCTATGCCGAGATAAGATTTGAATAGAGATTGACAAGGACAGGGAGTCAGCCACATCCCAGGTGAGCTACACAGGTAGAATGCCATGGAGAAGAGTGTAGGAAAGGGAGCTAGCGCTTACTGAGTCCTTACTATGTACCAGACACTGTGCAAAATGGCTTCCATACTTCACCTTACTCAGTCCTCACAGTGCTCAACAACGAAGTTAGAATAATCACTTCCATTTTATGGAAACTTGGATAAGTTAGTAAATTACCCAAGGTCACCCACTGAGCAAGTGGCAGAATCAGGACTTGAAGTATCATCTGTGTGCTCCAAGACTTCACTCTCGCCTCCACATCCCTGTGGTGTCCAGAGAGATCCGTGCCATCGGTTTGTACTTGAGACCTGGAAAGGCCAGCTGGATCAGGCCTATTCGGTTCGGGCATCAGTCCAGGGTGATTCTTCCCCAGGCTCAGCATGTCCAAGTATCCATGATTCACAGACAGTCTCAATCACTTATCAGTCGGGGGCCTGAGCAGCAGAGTGTTCCTCAGCCCTGCTGAGCTGTCCTCGGTGGGTCTGAGCCAGCTGCGAACAGAGGCCCTTTGTCTCAGAACGTCTCTTTGGCCAAGTTTTCATATTCAAGTCTGAGTGTTGACAGAATTAACATTCACACACACACACACAAGCACACACACCCCTTGTGACTCCTACATCATTCAGTCCCTCGTTTGAATTCCAGTTTCTGCCTGATTTTGGACTTTTTCAACAGTCACTGCTGTCACCATTAGCCCTCCCCCATACCTGAACTAATGATCCCACAATTCAATCTACCAACATTTATTTATTTATTTACTTTTTTTAGAGACAGGGTCTTGCTATATCACTCAGGCTGGTCTTGAACTCCTAGACTTCAGTGATCCTCCCGCCTTAGCCCCGCAAGTAGATGGGATTACAGGTGCAAGCCACTGTGCCCGGTTTCTGCATATTTTAATATGCCAGTCCCTATGCAAGGTCTGGGATTCCAAAACGTCATGTTGTCCTTGAGGCCGCTGATATTATCATCTGCTGGCCACCTGACACTTGGCAGCTTGTAGCAGTGGCTAGAGAATCTTTTATGAAGGATGAGACCTGGATTCAACAAAATTTCTGCACAAACTCACCATGTGACTTTAGGAAAACCATCTTTTCTCTCTGGGTCTCATTTTCCCCATCTGTACAATGAAAGGGTTGGATTCTAAAGGCCTTGCATGGCCAGGTGCGGTGGCTCATGCTGTAATCCCAACACTTTGGGAGGCCAAGCTGAGGCAGGTGGATCGCCTGAGGTCAGGAGTTTGAGACCAGCATTGACCAACATGGTGAAACACCATCTCTACTAAAAATACAAAAAATTAGCCAGGTGTTGTGGTGGGTGCCTGTAATCCCAGCTACTCAGGAGGCTGAAGCAGGAGAATCGCTTGAACCTGTGAGGCAGAGGTTGCAGTGAGCCGAGATCGCGCCATTGCACTCCAGCCTGGGCGATAAAAGCAAGACTCCGTCTCAAAATAAAATAAAATAAAATTAAATTAAAATTAAAAAATAAAGCCCTTGCACATCCTCTGGTTGCTGTGTTGCTCTGTAGTCTGGGAAAACAGCAGAAAGAAAGGACCCTGAATCAATCTCTGTTACAAATCCCTTAAATGCCCCTAGCATGTCATGTTCCCTTCTGGATCTCAGATTTCTCACCTGTAAATGGGGAAAAGGTGGGCATTTGGGGTTAGATGAGCTCTCAGGAGGCTTTCAGTTCTGCCATTCGAAGAATCTAAGATTTACCTTTCTGGAGGGTGCTAAGCACTACTTATAATGTGAGCTAGCCATGTGCAGTGGTGCACACCTATAGTCTCAGCTACTCAAGAGGCTGAGGTGGGAGGATCACTTCAGCCCAGGAGTTCGAGGCTGCCATAAGCTATCATCATGCCACTGCACTCCAAGCCTGGTGACAGAGTGAGGCCCCATCTCTTAAAAAAAAAAAAAAAGTCAGAAGGCCCTCAACTTATTGGACTTGTGGAAGGCAGTGGGGTGGGTAGCAGGAATAATGCAAGAAAAAAAAATTCAGACCTGATTCAAACCCTGCTTTACCACTCAGCAGCTATGTGACCTCAAATTAGTTGACTTCTCTGGGCTTCAGTTTTACCATCTGTAGATTAGGAAAATAATAATTACTTTGCAGAGCTGAGATGAGGATTGGAGTGTGTAAAGCATCATGCTTAGTGGCTAAGACTATGCTTAATAAAGGTTACTTAAGGCATCAGGTACAGGTTAGATATCAAAAATAAAGTTCAGCCAGGCGCAGTGGCTCATGCATGTAATCTCAGCATTTTGGGAGGCCGAGGAAGGCAGATCACAAGGTCAGGAGTTCGAGACCAGCCTGACCAACATGGTGAAACCCTGTCTCTACTAAAAATACAAAAATTGGCCCTGCGTGGTGGTGCGCACCTGTAATCCCAGCTACTCAGGAGGCTGAGGCAGGAGAATTGCTTGAACCCGGGAAGTGGAGGTTGCAGTGAGCTGAGATCGTGCCACTGCGCTCCAGCCTAGGCAACAGAGCGAGACTCCATCTCAAAAAATAAATAAATAAATAAAGTTCAAAAGCAGAAAATTTAACTCCAAGAACTGGAAAGAGCAAACAGTTCTCTTAATTTTTAATAGTTTTTTTTTTTTAATTAAAAGGGTAATGGCCAGGAGCGGTGACTCGCACTTGTAATCCCAGCACTTTGGGAGGCTGAGGCAGGTGAATCACTTGAGGTCAGGAGTTTAAGGCCAGCCTGGCCAACGTAGCAAAACCCAGTGTCTACTAATGATACAAAAATTAGCCGGGCATAGGTGGCGCACACCTGTAATCACAGCTACTCAGGAGGCTGAGGCATGAGAATCACTTAAACCCAGGAGGCAGAGGTTGCAGTGAGCCGAGATCGTGCCACTGCACTCCAGCCTGGGCAACAGAGTGAGACTGTGTCTCAAAAAAATAAATTAATAATAATAATAATAATAAATTAAAAGGGTAACACAAGTTCATTGTAGAAAATAATGAAAAAATTAAACTAATCTGAAATTCCATTATTTACCATTTTGGTACATTTTCTTCTATTCTTTTTTTATGCACAAATATATTTTACAGTGACTATATATATAATTTTGTAAATTTTTCAAGACATTAGGTCATAAACATTTCCCCATGACATTAAAAACTTCCCAAACATTCTATGGATATATCATACTTTACTAAATTGAGCCCTTACTGTTGGGCATTTAGGTTTGTCTCCAAATGTTTCCAATTACAAATAATGCTCACATGATTTATATGTTACATATGCATAAAGTATTGCTCACATTTCTGATTATTTCTTGAGAGGAAAAAGAAATCCTAGGAAGGGAATTACCTAGGAAAAGGATATGTACAATTTTAAGGCTTTGGCCAGAATTGCATACTGTGGCTTAGAAAGGCTATACTCACAATCCTACCAGCCAGGCCCCAGGTGCGGGTCACAATGGAAGCAGCAGAGGCTAATGTTTTGCCCCAGTCCACGAGGCTGAGGCCCCTTGGGGTGGCTGGTCCCAGGGCTGTGGTGGGAAGCTCTTACAGATTGCAGGTAAGGGACTACTGGTGGAATCTTCCATGCTGTCACTCATGTTATTGCTTTCTTGCCCTGATCAGTCACCACTCCAAGTCCCTCCCATCACTTACTGCAAACTGGCACCCTGGTCACAGTTTTCCTCTCTACTCAGGTCCATCATCATCCAGGTGATGTCGATAGGACAGCCCATCCTAGCCTCTCAGTTTCCTCATCTCTACTTCTACTCCAGGTTAGCCATTTGTCACTACATTCACACCCTAGGCCTTGTCATCAGCAGAAACTGCTTTGAAATTTCAAACTCCAAAGTGCCTCATGCCTGTAATCCCAGCACTTTGGGAGGCCGAGGTGGACAGATCAGTTGAGGTCAGGAGTTCGAGACTGGCCTGGCCAACATGAGAAACCCCATCTCTACTAAAAATACAAAAATTAGCTAGGCGTGGTGGCATGTGCCTGTGCTTCCAGCTCCTCAGGAGGCTGAGGTGGGAGAATTGTTTGAACACAGAAGGCGGAGGTTGCAGTGAGCTGAGATCGTGCCACTGCACTCCAGCCTGGGTGACAGAGCCAGACTCCGTCTCAAAATAAAAAAAAGAAGAAGAAGAAATCTGAAACTCGAACACCCATTTCCACCCACCTCCATGACCATGGCCTCCTATCCTCCAATTCTCACACTGTGTTACTTGAACTGCATCTGTTCTTTGACACTTCCCATCCCATTTCTTTTTAGTCACTTGGCTTCTTTCTGCCTAACTCTCACAGTCCTTCCTTCCTTCTTCCTTCAAACTTGTAACACTTCCTGTGTGCCAGGTACTTTACCAGGTACAGGGGTTGTAAAGTGAAAAGAGGTGGAGATCCATCAACTTGCTCGCTCTTCTCAACCCCCTTGCCTGTTTACCTTTCTGCAAAACCCCCACCTTGTGTCATCCAAACCTTGCATGTGCACTTTGTATTCTAAATTACTTACTTGCGCTCTTCTCTACTTCCCTCTCAGCCAGAATTCTCCAAAATGTAACCCAACCCTGCTGTATTCATTTCCTCAGCTCCCCTCTACCCTTCAACCTAAGGTAGTGAGGCTTCCGCCTCACCACTCCACTGAGTTGTCAAATGGTCTTCCTAACTGTCAAATGCAATGAATGCTTTCCAGATGTTCCCCTCCTTGGCTTCCCAACTGCTTTTGACATTAGCTGTACAACCTTGGGAAAATCACCCAACCTCTCTGAACCTGTTTCCTCATCACTGAAAGAGTGAATAATAGGATCTTCCTTATAGAACTGGTGAGAAATTCAGTAAAATTATGTATACAGAAAAAAATTCGGCCAAGCATGGTGGCTCATGCCTGTAATCCCAGCACTTTGGGAGGCCGAGGTGGGCAGGTCACCTGAGGTCAGGAGTTCGAGACCAGCCTGACCAACATGGAGAAACCCCATCTCTACTAAAAATACAAAATTAGCCAGGCATGGCGGCGCATGCCTGTAATCCCAGCTACTCGGGAGGCTGAGGCAGGAGAATTGCTTGAACCTCGGAGGCTGAAGTTGCAGTGAGCTGAGATCATGCCATTGCACTCCAGCCTGGGCAACAAGAGCAAAACTCTGTCTCAAAAAAATAATAATAACAACAATCTCAGCACATTGGGAAGCCAAAGCAGGAGAATTGCTTGAGCCCAGGAGTTCAAGACCAGTCTGGGCCACATAGCAAGACCCCTGTCTCTACTAAAAATTAAAAAATTAGCTGGGTGTGCACCTGTGATTTTAACTACTCAGGGGCTGAAGTGGGATGGTCACTTGAGCTCAGGAGGTGGAGGCTGCAGTGAGCCATGACAGCACCACTGCACTCCAGCCTGGGTGACAGAGTGAAATCCTGTCTCAAAAACAAAAGAAAAAAGAAAAAGACTCGCTGGTACACAATAAGCATTCAATAAGATAAAATTCAGACTCATTGAACTTGGTTTCCTGGGTCTCTGATAACCAGGAAGGGTTTGCCTTGGCTCATATGAGCATTTGGATCTCTGAAAAGGATAATTTCCCAGGGCAATTCATTCTTTGTCAACAAAAAATTATTGAGCACCTACTATGTGCCTGATCCAGGCACTTTTCTAGTTTCTGAAGCTATAGCAGTGAAGACAGCAGAGAAGCACTGTGCTCTCAGGAAGTGAATCTAACAGTGAGGAGAGAGAAAAACGGAGAGACAGAGAGAGATAGTAAGCATGCAAAGGCTTACATGGGAACTTTTTGGGGTGATGGAAGTGTTCTATATATTGATTGTGGCAGTGGTCACACAGGTGTATACATTTTTCTTTTTCTTTTCTTTTCTTTTTTTTTTTAAGACAGGGTCTCCCTCTGTCACCCAGGCTGGAGTGCAGTGGCACGATCTCAACTCACTGCAGCCTTGAACTCCCGGGCTCAAGTGATTCTCTCACTTCAGCCTCCCAAGTAGCTGGGACCACAGGTGCACGCCACCATGCACAGCTAATTTTTGTATTTTTTGTAGAAGCAGGGTTTTGCCATGTTGCCCAGGCTGATCTTGAACTGCTGAGATCAGGCGATCTGCCTGCCTCAGTTTCCCAAAATGCTGGGATTACAGGCGTGAGCCACCACGCCTGGCCTACATTTTTCAAAATTCAATGAATAATGCACATTAATTGAGTGCATTTTGTTACATGTACATTATATCTTAAAAAGTTCATTTTTTAAAATTAAGTTACATAGAGGGATAGAGTATAACCGTATACAGGGGAATAATATTTGATAGGGCAAACAAGAAAATCCCCTCTAAGAAGAAAACATTTAAGCAGAAACCTGAATGATGAGAAGGAGCAAACCATATGAATATCTAAGAGAAGAATATTCCAGGCAGAAATCACAGCAAGTGCAAAGGCCCTGAGATGGGGTTGAAGTCTGAGAAACAACAAGAAAGCCAATGTGGCTGGAACATAATGAACAAGCAGGAGATAAGAGAGGTAGGCAGGGGCCGGGCATGGTGGCTTATGCCTGTAATCCCAGCACTTTGGGAGGCCGAAGCAGGTGGATCGCGAGGTCAGGCATTCAAGACCAGCCTGGCCAACATAGTGAAACCCCATCTCTACTAAAAATAAAAATAATTAGCTGGGCGTGGTGGCAGGTGCCTGTAATCCCACCTACTTGGGAGGCTGAGGCAGGAGAATTGCTTGAACCTGGGAGGCGGAGGTTGCAGTGAGCTGAGGTTGCGCCCCTGCACTCCAGCCCAGGGAACAGTGTGAGACTCCGTCTCAAAAAAAAAAAAAAAAAAAAAGAGAGAGGTAGGCAGGGACTAGATCATGGAAGCTCTTGTGGGTCATGGTAAGAAGATTGGGTTTTATTTTAAACCTAATAGGCAGTGGAGGTTTTTAAAGTTCCAGAATGATACAATCTGATTTACATTTCAAAAAAGTCATTCTGAAATTTATATGAGAAAAGACAAAGGGAAAGCAGAAACAGAAGCAGAGGCCATTCAAATTACTGCAGTAGTCCACCTGAGAGATGATAGTGGCTTGGGCTAGGTCGGTAGCAATACAGGAGGTAAAAAAAAAAATCACGTGGCCGGGCGCGGTGGCTCAAGCCTGTAATCCCAGCACTTTGGGAGGCCAAGGCGGGTGGATCACGAGGTCAGGAGATCGAGACCATCCTGGCTAACACGGTGAAACCCCGTCTCTACTAAATATACAAAAAATTAGCCGGGCGTAGTGGCGGGCACCTGTATTCCCAGCTACTCGGGAGGCTGAGGCAGGAGAATGGCGTGAACCCAGGGGGCGGAGCTTGCATTGAGCCGAGATCGCGCCATTGCACTCCAGCCTGGGCGACAGAGTGAGACTCCGTCTCAAAAAAAAAAAAAAAAGAAAAAAAAGAAAAAAAAAGTCACGTTTAGGATTATGTTTTGAAGGTACACTCAATTAAACTTGCTGATGGATTAAATAAAGAAGATGAGGGAAATAAAAGAATCAAAGATGATTCTTAATTTTTTTTTTCCGAGACAGGGTCTCTCTTTGTTGCCCAGGCTGAAGTGCAGTGGCACGATCATAGGTCACTATAACCTCAAACTTCTGGGTTCACACAATCCTCTTGTCTCAGCCTCCCAGGTAGCTGGGACTACAGGCACATGCCACCATGCCTGGCTAATTTTTTTTTTTTTTTTTTTTGAGACGGAGTCTCGCTCTGTCGCCCAGGCTGGAGTGCAGTGGCGCGATCTCTGCTCACTGCAAGTTCTGCCTCCCAGGTTCACACCATTCTCCTGCCTCAGCCTCCCGAGTAGCTGGGAATACAGGCGCCTGCCACCAAGCCCAGCTAATTTTTTGTATTTTTAGTAGAGATGGGGTTTCACCATGTTAGCCAGGATGATCTCAATCTCCTGACCTCGTGATCTGCCCACCTCGGCCTCCCAAAGTGCTGGGATTACAGGCGTGAGCCACCGTGCCGGGCCCATGCCTGGCTAATTTTTTAATTAATTAATTTTTAATAGAGACGAGGTCTCACTATGTTGCTCAGGCTGGTCTCAAACCCCTGGCTTCAGGCAATCCTGCCACTTCAGCCTCCCAAAACACTAGGATTACAGGCGTGAGCCACCACCCCTGCCCACTCTTTAATTTTTGACCTAAACAACCAGATGAATGGTTAAGCCATTTACTAAGATAGAGAACACCGGGGGAAATAGAATAAGTCTGGAGGAGCACATAAAAGTTTTGTCTTAGACATGTGAAGTCTAAGATGCTTGATAAATATTGGTATCTTGCCGGGCACAGTGGCTCACGCCTGTAATCCCAACTCTTTGGGAAGCCAAGGCGGGCAGATCACTTGAGATCAGGAGTTCAAAAGCAGCGTGGCCAACATGGTGAAACCCCATCTCTACCAAATTAAGTGAGGTGGTGCACACCTGTAATCCCAGCTACTCGGGAGCTGAGGCAGAAGAATTGCTTGAATCCTGGAGGTGGAGGTTGCAGTGAGCTGAGATCATGCCACTGCACTCCAGCCTGGGCAACAGAGCAAGACTGAAAGAAAGAGACAGAGAGAGAGAGAAAAAAAAGAGAAATATTGGTATCTCGCTAATATATATGCCTCTTATGAGTTTGGATAGAACAAGTCAGTGCCTAAACCTTCCCAGTTCTGAGTACCCTAACACTGGACTTCTCGGTCCTCTAAGCTGAGGATAAGCCTCAGAACCCTGGACCCCCGTAGCCAACCCTCCTCAATCAGTGAGCAGAATCAGCCCTTCTGCACATCTCTCTGACCTTTCTTCACTCAACATAATAATTGCATTTTGGGTTGATTTCTTCAAAGTAGGCACCTGACCTCAACGATTACTTGTTGCTAAGGCTTTTTTTTTTTTTTTTTTTTTTTTGAGACGGAGTCTCGCTCTGTCGCCCAGGCTGGAGTGCAGTGGCGCAATCTCGGCTCACTGCAAGCTCCGCCTCACAGGTTCAAGCGATTCTCCTGCCCCAGCCTCCCGAGTAGCTGGGACTACAGGCGCCCGCCACCACACCCGGCTAATTTTTTGTATTTTTTAGTAGAGACAGGGTTTCACCGTGTTAGCCAGGATGGTCTCGATCTCCGGACCTCGTGATCTGCCCATCTCGGCCTCCCAAAGTGCTGGGATTACAGGCGTGAGCCACTGTGCCCGGCCGTTGCTAAGTCTTAATGTAGGAAGATTTCTTGTAATAACAATTCTCTTCTTGGGGTGTTACTTTTTGGTGTATGTGTCAAGATTCAGTCCAATAATTCAGCCATCCAATAATTGTTTACTGGGCTGGAAACAAAAGAAAATAAGGTAAATAGACAGTCATTGTGTGAGCAGGGCTGACACACAAGAAGCACAGGGGCTAAGAGAACTAGGGGAAGCCTAGGCAAGTCTTCCTGGAAGAGGTGAGGTCGTGCAGACCAAACCTTCCTGGACATAGTGCTGGATTGTGTTCCTGATTTTGGCTTCATCAACTGCCTGGGGCTTGAAGCCTCTCTTTTCCTGATTCCAGAGCATTTCCTAAATATTTATTGATAATACCCTTGGGCATTTGAGCATTTACTCCCCCATTGGACAAGTGGAGTTCAGTCCTTGAGGGAATGATGGCAGGTCTGTGCATGTTCTCCCTGCCTTCTACTGGGAGGGATTATGGTGTGAGTAAAAGCCAGCTGGGGCAGGGAAATGGGCCCTCAAGCTAGCAGTCACAAGATTAGCCTCAAAGGGCTCATTACAAAGGATGGCTGAAATCCATCAGGAAGTAGGGGACCTTGAACCTATCCTTGGAAAAGGATTGTGCTTTGTTACAGTGAAGCTGAGGGGCTTTTTGCATCCCACTTTTCAGCCAACTCCTGAACATTTTTCCTGTCTGCCCCCTCCCCTGTATTCCTATCACTACTACTCTGGTACAGCCTCTCTACTTTTCACCATGAAGAGGGGGAAAATGAGAGAGAGAGGGAGAGAGAAATAAATGGAAATAAATAAATAGTGGGGAAAAAAGATTACAATAGCCTCCTGGATGGTTTTTCTGTCTCCAAACTCAACTTCAGTCAGCCTCACAATCCAGGTCCACTTACTTTCTGAAGCACTCTTTCTAATACCCAGGTCAGATCTTATTTCTCCCCACTTATCACCTTCACTAGTTTCCCACTGCCTTCAGCAAAAGGTCAGGCTCCCTAACCCCCTTGGTATATGCCCCACCTGCTCTCCAGCCTCACCCTAACTCCCCTCCCCTTCACACTTTCCTGTTCCCTGAAGATGCCACTGCTGGCTGTATCATTGTACATGCTGTTCTTCTTACCTGGAATACCCTTCTCCCCTTCTCTGCCCATCTGATAAACTGACTTATCCTTCGAAACATTGCTTAAGTTTCGCCTTCTCCCTGAAGCTTTCCTGTCCAGGCCTTTTGCCTGGGCTTATTCCCACCTTCCTCTGTAGCACCTCTATACCTTGCTACCCTCAAAACAGTATTACTTGTATCACCAGTATCTGTACCATTGAACATTTGTCTTTAGGTAAGTAAGATTGGGAATTTGAGTCTCAGAAATGGGAAAAGGCTTATCCAGGGATCCATGGTGGAATGTGGACTCAAATCCAAAACATCCCAGTTCCCCAGCAAGTGCCCTATCTACTGCACCCTCAAATAATTAATCAGATTTCACACACACACACACACACACACACACACACACACACACGAAGAGCATCATTTGTTAGTGGGCTGAAACAGTACTATTGAACATTTGTCCTTAGGTAAGTAAGCCCTTCCATAATTCTCTGAAGTTCATGAGGCATTCTAGGGAAGAGACTGGACAAGATGACCCCCAAGATCCTCTGAACTCTGATATTTTATGAAACACAGAAAATTTGGCTAGGCGCAGTGGCTCACGCCTGTAACCCCAGCACTTTGGGAGGCCGAGGTGTGTGGATCACCTGAGGTCAGGAGTTCGAGACAAACCTGACCAACATGGTGAAACCCTGTCTCTACTAAAAATAAAAAATAAATAAATAAATAAATAGCCGGGCGTGGTGGCGGGCACCAGCTACTCAAGAGGCTGAGGCAGGATAATCACTTGAACCTGGGAGGCAGAGGTTGCAGTGAGCCGAGATCATGCCATTGCACTCCAGCCTAGGTGACGGAGTGAGACTCCATCTCAAAAAAAATAAAAAAGAAAGAAACAGAAAAGAAAAAAGAAAAAAAAGAAACAGAAAATTTCACAATCACAATCAATGACCCCCTTTTTCCTCCAGGGTTCACCCATTTGTGTTTTTGAGATGAAGGAGAAGGAACAAACGTTTACTGCATGCCAACTGTGTGCTCCAACTATATGCTAGGGACAATGCTTTACTCACCTTACCTAATTTAACACTCTGAACAATCTTGCAAGATCCGTATTGTCCTCATTTAATAGAGAAAGAAATTGAAATGCAGACTTAGTAAGCTACCTGCCCAGTGTCACACAGCTAGGAGGTAGCGAGTAGGGATTTCAGCTGTAGTCTTTCTCTCTCTAAACGGGCTCCAAACCGGGAAAGTCGGCCTGCCTGACCGCTGGGACAGGTGACAGGCAAGGGCGTGGAGTCTGTTCTATAGTCGCTGCCTGCCAGGCACCGAACTGCTTACCCCCGTCTTTGAACTCCTCGCGCAGGTAGACCCAGCGCTGGGCGCACGTTCCCAGGGTGCAGGTCACCAGCAGCAGTGGCAGCAGCTGCAGCCCCTTCATCCTGCGGAACCTCGAGTCCCAGCCTTGGAACATTGCTACCCTCGCCAGGAGTTCGGCCCCACTGCTGCCACTTCTACCTTGACCCAGGGGCGGGGGCTGAGATCACCTGCATCCCCACACCTGGCTGCCCTCCATTCGAGGCCTGGGGGTAGTGAGAATAATGAGGACAAATCCCAGGGCACCACCGCTGAGAGCGCCGGAGGACTGAGGAGCTAATGGGGGCCAACCAGGTGTTAAGGGAGCGGCAGGGGAGGGTCTCTAGGAGTTAGGGAGTGGAATGGGCAGCTGAGGCTTGCCTCTGGGGTGCTCGACTTTGTGGAGCTGGTTGAAGTCGCTCTCACTTGATTCCGTTCGTCATCTCTCTGTCCCTCCATCCTCCCTTCCCTCTATCCTTCTATCCTTCCATCCATCCATCCTTCCATTCATCCATCCATCCACTGGGCCTATGAAGAAACCACGATGATATCTGTTTATTTTAACAGAAATGCAGGGCCTGAGGGGGCCCAGAAGAGGCTTTGATCCAGCATGGGGTCTCAGGGAAGGCTTCCTGAAGAAAGTGACAACTGAGGCTAACCAGGGAGGAAGAAATGGGGGAGGGAGGAGGAGGAGCAGAGAGAAGACCATGGGCAAAGGCCAGAGAAGCGAAAGACTTGTAAATTCATGTCATTTCTACAACAACTCCATACTGTACAATCAATGTTATTTACCCTATTGTGAGGAAAATGAGGCTCAAAGAGGGAAAAAAGCACCAGCATTTGTTGATTATTGTATTATGTGCTAAGCACTGCACCAGGCTCTTAAGAGGCGTATCATTTAATCCTCACACTAGTGTGAGGAGGGTGTTATCATGCTCGCCTTACAGATGAACAAACTGAGATTCTAAGAGACAAAGTAGCTTCCCAAGGTCACACAGAGATGGAATAGGGGCTAGAAACCAGGCCTTCTCATTCCAGTGCCTTCACTACACTTTCGTTTAACTTCATTCATCTATTCAATATCTATTTATCAGGCCAGGCATGGTGCCTCACGCCTGTAACTCCAGCACTTTGGGAGGCCGAAGTGGGTGGATCACCTGAGGCCAGGAGTTTGAGATCAGCCTGGCCAACATGGTGAAACCCCATCTCTACTAAGAAATACAAAAATTAGCCGGGCATGGTGGCGGGCGACTATAATCCCAGCTACTTGGGGAGGCTGAAGCAGGAGAATTTCTTGAGCCTGGGAGGTAAATGTTGCAGTAAGCCAAGATTCTGCTACTGCACTCCAGTCTGGGCAACAGAGTGAGACGCTGTCTCAAAAAAAAAAAAAAAAAAAAAGGCCAGGCACAGTGGCTCATGCCTGTAATCCCAGCACTTTGGGAAGCTGAGGTGAATGGATCACCACCTGAAGAGTACAACACCAGCCTGACCAACATGGTGAAACCCCGTCTCTACTAAAAATACAAAATTAGCCAGGTGTGGTGGATCACACCTGTAATACTAGCTACTTGAGAGGCTGAGGCAGGAGAATCACTTGAACCCAGGAGGTGGAGGTTGCAGCGAGCCGAGAGCACGCCACTGCACTCCAGCCTAGGCGAGAAGAGTGAAACTCTTGTCGCAAAAAAAAAAAAAAAAAAAGACCAGCCTGACCAACATGGTGAAACCCCATCCCTACTAAAAATACAAAAATTAGCCAGGCATGGTGGCATGTGCCTGTAATCCCAGCTATTCAGGAGGCTGAGGCAGGAGAATTGCTTGAACCCGGGAGGCGGAGGTTGCAGTGAGCTGAGATCGTGCCACTGCACTCCATCCTGGGTGACAGAGCGAGACTCCATCTCAAAAAAGAAAAAAAAAATCCAATATCTATTTATTAAGGTCCTCCTATATGCCAGGCACTGGGCTAGGACTGAAGATACAGTGGAGAACAAGACTGGCAAGTCTCCTGCTCCCATGGAGCTACCTTTCCAGTAGGGGACACAGAGTCTCATAAAGGAAGCAATAAAACAAGGCAATGACTTAGAGAGAGATGGAGAAAGCTTTCATGCTGGGAGAGGAAAGGGGGTCAGGGAGGTCCTCCTTGAGGTGACACTTTGGTTGCCATGTATTCATCTGGGGCAAGTGTTCCAAGAAGAGGCAACAAGTGCAAAGGCTCTGAGAAGGAGGATGAGTTTGTCACATTTGAGCATCAGAAAGAAAGCCAATGTGGCTTAAGCACAGTGAGGAAGGAGGTGAGGCTGGAGAAAGGATGGAGTCAAGACTTCTCATGATATAAGCCATGGGTAGGATTTATAACTGGTGTAGTGGGAAGCCTTTAAAGGGAGTGACATAATCAGAATTATATTTTTAAAAGGTCACTTTAGCTGCTGTGTGCTAAGTTGGGATGTCGGTGTATAATCAATCGGGATGTCAAGTACACAGTTAAAATATATTAACCTGCATCAATCAGAGTCCTATGGAATATATGTGTGTATATATATATATATGTGTGTGTGTGTGTGTGTGTGTGTGTGTGTGTGTGTATATACACACACACACAAAGGATAGATTGTATATATATATATACACACACACATATATATATACACACAATATAATCCCACAGAAGAGGTCTTGGCTACAAATATAAATTTGGAGGTATATAAGTGGTATTTTAAGCCACATAGCTAGATGAGATCTTTAAGAGAGAGGAGCAATTGGCCAAGAACCATGCATGCCAAGTACCCAGAACTGACGAAGAGAACCCGAGCCCTGAGAGTTGGGCAGAGAAAATGGAAGCAGCAAGGAAAACAATGACTGGCTCTAAAAATAAGAGCCTCCTTTAGAATTCTAGGTTGTTTGCCCATTGGCAGGGTGGTCTTCTCTTAAAGGGAGTGTCAAAATTGCAATTCAACTAATATTTACTAATCACCTACTATGTGCAGGGTGCTATGCCAAGTTCTGAGGAAACAAAAACAGATAGGACCCAATCCTTGCTCTCCAGGAATTCTCAGGCCAGTTAGGGACATGGACCTTTAGGCAACTAATTTAGGATGAAAGAAGCCTGGTTTTGGTGCCCTAATAAATGCAAGAACAGCAAAAGCACAGAGGCAGAGAGATGTACCAGATATTGTGAAATGACTTTACTTGTATCACCTCATAGAGTTCTCTCAATATAAACAACTATTGTTTTCCTCATTTTACAGAAGAAGGAACTGAGTCTCTAAGATGGAGGATATACAACTGACAAGTAGTAAAGTCAAGATACACAGCCAGGTCTGTCTGACTTCAGAGACCAAGTGCTTAATCACTCTTTCATTTTGTGATGGTCTGATAGAGCTGGAACATAAGGTTCCTGGGAAGATGGAGCATCCAGAGAACAAGGCAGAGGGAGATAAAGAGAAAAGGGGGAACAGGGCCGAATTGGCCCAGGCCTTGAATGCCAACTGGAGGAGTTTGGATTTAGTTCCTCTGGGCCAGAGTTTTTCAATATCAGCACTATTGACATTTGGGGCCAGATAATTCTGTGTGTGGTGGTAGTGGGGTGGGGGTAGAGGGCTGTCCGCTGTATTGTAGGATGCTTAGCAGTGTCTCTGGCTTTGACTCATCAGATGTAAGTAGCACTCCCCAACCCCTGACAGTTGTGACAACTAAAAATGTCTCCAGACATTACCAAATCTCTCCTGGTGTGTGTGTGTGTGTGCCCGCGCACACACATATGCTAATTCGACAACTAGTTGGGAATGGCTGCTCTAGGCACTAGTTGGGTGCAGTTTTAAAAGGAGTGTGACATGGGCTGGGCACGGTGGCTCACGCCTGTAATCCTAGCACTTTGGGAGGCTGAGGCAGGCAGATCACCTGAGGTCAGGAGTTCGAGACCAGCCTGGCCAACATGGCGAAACCCAGTCTCTATTAAGAATACAAAAATTAGCCGGGCATGGTGGCGCACCCCTGTAATCCCAGCTACTCAGGAGGCTGAGGCAGGAGAATCACTTGAACCCAGGAGACAGAGGTTGCAGTGAGCCAAGATCGTGCCATTGCACTCCAGCCTGGGCAACAGGTGAGACTCTGTCTCAAAAAAAAAAAAAAAAAAGTGTGACATGATGAACATTAGAACATTAGGAATGCTCCTTTAATACTAGCAACTTAGCTCAGCATGGTGCTGCATGACTGTAGTCCTAGCTGCTCAAGAGGATGAGGTTGGAAGATCACTTCAGCCCAGGAGGTCGAGGCTGCAGTGAGCTATGATTACACCACTGCACTCCAGGCTCAGTGACAGACTGAGACCTCATCTCTAAAACAAAAAACAAAACACCAATGACTTCTGTTATAACAAGCACTGTTATGTTCATAATGTGTTAGCCCTTGTGAGAAATTGTATTATGTTTAAATTCTGGTAAGCTGGAATCGCTTGTACTATTTTGGTTACATTCCCATGGAGTCTGTTCATTTTCTGTGAAAGGATAGATTGAGTTTACCATGTGCTCCTCAAGGGCAGTGAGCACAGTGGCTTCTTTGTTTTTATATTCTAAGTCCCTAGCACAGTGAATGTTAAATGAATAGATGAATTTTAAAAAAATTATTATATACATATTTATATTACTTTTTAGAATATCATGCTTAGATCAGAGATTTGTCATAAGTCTAATATGTAGTAAAAAATAAGCATCTTTATTTGTAAGCAACAATATCTGTTTTAATCTTTTGATCCAAAAATTCTACAAGCTGATAAAATGTGTAGACTTTATTTTCAGTTCTATTTTTCAGATGAAAAAAATCCATGTGATATTTGCAGCATCCACAGGGTTTTATTCAATCTGTAAGAATATATTATTAATTATTCACTTGTCTTAGTCCATTTGTGCTACTATAACAAAGTACCTAAGACTGGGAAATTTATAAAGAACAGAAATTTATTTCTCACAGTTCTGGAGGCTGGGACGTCCAAGATCAAGGTGTCAACTCCTCTCTGAAAGCTGTCTGCTTCCAAGGTGGTGCCTCTTGCTGTGTCCTCACCTGGAAGAAGGAGGCAAAAAGGGATGGACATTGTGTCTTCACATGGCAGAATAGATGGAAGGACCAGGCTGCTCTCTGAAGCTTCTTTTATAAGGGCATTATTCCTGCCTATTAGAGCAGGGCCCTTATGGCTTAATCACCTCCCAAAGGCCCCATTTCATCTCAAAACCATCACCTTGGTGTTTTAAGTTCCAACATATGAATTTTGGAGGGACACTTACATTCAAACCGTAGCACCACTATATAAAGCACTTTGGGTTAACTCAATGTGATTTAATTCAATAACTATGGAGCTACCCCTATGAACCTAGCACTAAGAGAGATATAAAAGCACAGTAGTTATCCTCTAGATATGTCTAATGAAAGAGATGTCAGGCTTAGAGGGTATGCCTCCTTGTTCTGTCTCTTACCAACTGCGTGATCCTGAGTTCATTGAGGCCATATCATGATTTTTGTGGGCTCTAGGCACTTTTGCCCTTATGGACCCCTTCTTCCATAAAAAAGCATTTAAAGATATATTTATGACTGCATCAGCATAAAGACAAACACAAAACAGGCTGGATTCATTATTATATATTCATTATTATTATGTTCTTTTTTTCTTCTGGTTTTAAAAGAAATTAAAATTAAAACATGTTTTCTTAGGCTCCTGTAAGTATTATGGGCCCTAAGCACTGTGCCTACTGTGCCTAATGGGTAAGTCAGCTTTGGGGCCAAGTATTAACCTCATCTAGTTCTCATTTCCCTCTTTGTAAAATTTTGGTCTTGAAGGGTTATTATAAGGATTACTTGAGGTACTTAGAAGTTGCATAACATCAGAAACCAAGTCCGATTTGTTTTCCACAGTGTAACTAGAGCACTTGGCACAGAATAAGAACTCAATAAGATGAATGTGAAATTACTAACATAGTGTCAGGGTATAGTAAACACTTGATAAATATCAGATTTAGTTCACGAGACCTCCCAGGGAACAGTTCAGGACATACATAATAGATATCAGAAAGCTGTTGTGGATGGTACAGACCCTGAATGTCACAGGAATTCAGATCAGGAAGGATTATGTGGATCGGTTGGTTAGCATGCTTTTTAATTTTTTATTTGTTCAGTGCATCCATCCCACTTAACTGCAGCTGTAACACTGTCATTAGCAGTGTAGGTAGGAAAAGGATGTGTTCAAAACCATCAATTCTATACTCCAGCCTGGTATATTTACATATGCAGGGAGTTGTACCAGCATTGCCCTGTAGCTCCAAATCCTCTGCAGATTTAATTACAAAGCTACAAAGTGAGTGCATAAATTATGCACTAAGGCCCATGTTTGGGAAATTACTGTGTAGTCCTGGGAATTAGATAGGAGATTAGATCTTTGTAATTGATATACTTCCACTTAAGGGTTGAAACCCTGCAGATCAGTGAGAACTTTGGTCTAAAGACAGTTTGTCTGTGGTTCTGCAGGGCTAGCTGGACATTTAAACTCCAAACACTAGCTATTGGGAGGCAAAGAACTTTGCAGTTATCCAATCCTGCTCAGGTCTCCCTCTTCAGCTTCATCTCCCCCATGGGTTCACTTGTCCCATCACATCTGGAAGATGCACAGTAAATATTACCAAGCCTTTTGCCTTTACCTATACTGTTCTCTTTGATGGAATATTCTTCCCCTCTTCATTCTGGGAAACCCCAAAGAGAGTGCCTGTTTCTAGTAGCTACTCTACAAGCATTAGTTTCTTCTCCCTGAGTAAGAAGGCAAAGGTTTCATGTCAGTAAGCTCAGCTCAAATACTTTTCCTTGTGAAAGCCCTTCTTACCTTCCTAGGAAGAAGAAAAGAAAAGAAATGCACCTGTATTGGACACCAATTAAGTACAAGCACTTTGCTGGGTCCTTTGCATTTATCATCTTGTTTAATCCTCAGGGCAATTTTGTGCAGAAGGTATTCTTATCCTTAGTACCTAGGTCAAGAACTTGCTGTCTAAATGGTTAAGTAACTTTGCCAAAATCTCTCTGCTAGTCAACAGCAGAGGTGGAAATGGAATCCCGTCTGCCTGGCTGTCTCCCTCAGGCCAGTCAATTGTTCCATTCTTGGGGTTCTTTTTTTTTTTTTTTTTTTTGAGACGGAGTCTCACTCTTTCACCCAGGTAGGACTGCAGTGGCGCGATCTCGGCTCACTGCAAGCTCCGCCTTCTGGGTTCACGCCATTCTCCTGCCTCAGCCTCCCGAGTAGCTGGGACTACAGGCACCCACCACTGTGCCCAGCTAATGTTTTGTATTTTTAGTAGAGACGGGGTTTCACCGTGGTCTCGATCTCCTGACCTCGTGATCCGCCCGCCGCGGCCTCCCAAAGTGCTGGGATTACAGGCGTGAGCCACCGCGCCCAGCCAGGGCTCTTAAAATTCTTCCATCCTGCCTCTACCCTAACACATGTCTCACTGTATGGTAATTTATTCGTATACTTTCATAATCCGTCTCGTTCATGAAACATTTTTTTTTAATTTTTTTTTTTTTTTTTTTTTGAGACTGGGTCTTACTTTGTTGCCCAGGCTGGAGTGCTGTGGCACAATCACAGCCCTTTGGAACCCTGACCTCCTGGGCTCAAGGGATCCTCCCACCTCGGCCTCCCTGGTAGCTGAGACTACAGACACAAGTCACCACACCCAGCTGATTAAAAAAAAATTTTTTTTTGTAGAGACGAGGAGTGGGGCGGGGAGATGTCTCACTATATTGCCCTAGTTGGTCTCAAACTCCTGGGCTCAAGGGATTCTCCCGCCTCTGCCTCCCAAACTGGTGGGATTACAGGCATGAGCTACTGTACCCAGCCAACTAAACTCTTGAATCAGAGAGCAAATCTTACTTCTTTCTGTATCCTTAATGCCTGGCACAAGGACTAGCATGCAGTGGGTGCTCAAAATATGTTGATGGAATAAGGTAAATAATAACAAAACACTAGGGCTGGGGTGGTGGCTCACACGTGCAATCCCAGCACTTTGGGAGGCCAAGGCAGGAGGATCACTTGAGCTTAGGAGTTCAGTGTCAGCCTGAGAAACATGGTGAAACCCTTTCTTGGCAAAAAATACAAAAATTAGCCGGGCATGATGGCGTGCACCTGTAGTCCCAGTTATAGGGTGGTTGAAGTGGGAGAATCACTTAAGCTCAGGAGGTTGAGGCTGCAGTGAGCCATGATCGTGCCACTGTACTCCAGCCTGGGCAACAGAGTGAGACCCTGTCTCAAAACAAAAACAAAAAAAACACTTTGCAGTTTGCAAACCATTTTCAAATATATGATTTCACTTAAGTATGAATAAGCATAAGATAAAGTTCCTGCTTTTGTTAACTAGCAATATAATCAAGAAAACAAGTTATGTGCTGGTGAAACAAAAATTCACAAAACAGTATCAGGAATAACAGTATTGTATACAGATAAAGTAAATTTACTGAGGCCAAAGCGAATGAGAACTGAGAACAAGATTTTTAGATTTGGAGAGAAAACGATCTTACAGCTCTATTTAGGGAACTGGATGGGACATTTTAAGTACCTTATGCTATTTCATCCTCACAAAAACCCAGTGAGGTTCATGATACTGCCTCTCTTTCCTAGAAAGTGGACAAAATCTTAAATAGGTTTAAGTGATTTGCCCTAAGTCACACAGCTGGGTTATGGCAGAGCCTATTCTATGTTCTGGTCTCTAAGAGTCCTCTTCTTTTTTTATTGTAGTTGTATTATTCTGCGCCAATATTTTAGGAGATACTAGTAGTTAATATATTTCTCTTTATAGGCAATAAAAACATTTCAGCCGGGGTCTTCTGGCTAAGCCCTGTGGTGTATGTAGTAGAAAAAGTATGTGTCTTGGTTTGGGTTGGAGTGCAGGCAAATTATTTAGGATATGATATCAGTAAACCCGGGTAGGAGTTGGGTAGTAAGACAGAAGTGAAGATAGTCAATAATGTATACATTATTAAGCTAGTTACCATAGTGGGCAATTGGACCTCAGTTATGCTGTGGAACTCTGGGAGACAGTGCAGGGCACATTCAAGGTATCCCAATGGAGGGGTGAGAAAATTGGGGTATTATTCAACTCCCTATACATCATTGGTTCTGATAACATTAAGTCTCCGAAACTCCCAGCTTGCTCTGTGCACAGGCCAAGCATGTTCCCTGGTCAGAAAGAAAGAAAGAAAACCAAAATCTTCAGGCAGTGAGCTGCGTGTGTTCCCTATAATAGCCTTCAGTGTCTAGAAGTGAATGCCAGGAAAATATGGACAGGAAACCAATAGCATCTGCTACAGAATGTAATGGGACGCAAATACTGCCTCTACCACTTCATTTTACATTTAAAAAAATTCATTAGGGCTGGGTGCGGTGGCTCACGCCTGTAATCCCAGCACTTTGGGAGACCGAGGTGGGTGGATCACCTGAGGTCAGGAGTGCAAGGCCAGCCTGACCAACATGATGAAACCCCGTCTCTACTAAAAATACAAAAATCAGCCAGGCATGGTGGTGGGCGCCTGTAATCCCAGCTGCTCGGGAGGCTGAGGCAGGAGAATCACTTGAACCCGGGAGGCGGAGGTTGCAGTAAGCCAAGATCCCACCATTATACTCCCGCCTGGGTGACAGAGTGAGACTCTGTCTCAAAGAAAAAAAAAATTCATTAGGTATTTATTGTAAGTCCATCATACACTAAAGGGATTAGCAAACTGGTTTTGAAGACCAAATATGGCTAGCTTCATGGTTTCTTTGTTTGTTTTTGAGATGGAGTCTCGCTCTTTCTCCCAGGCAGGAGTACAATGGTGCGATCTTGGCTCACTGCAACCTCGGCCTCCCGGGTCCAAGTGATTCTCCTGCCTCAGCCTCCCAAGTAGCTGGGATTACAGGCGCCTGCCACCACACCTGGCTGATTTTTTGTTTTTAGTAGACACGGGGTTTCACATGTTGGTCAGGCTAATCTTGAACTCCTGACCTCAGGTGATCCACCCGCCTCAGCCTCCCAAAGTGCTGGGATTACAGGCGTGAGCCACCGCACCTGGCCTAGCTTCATGTTTTTATAAATAAAGTTTTATTGGAACACAGCCATGCCCATTCACTTATGCTTTTGCCCTACTACATGGCAGAGTTGGGTGTTTCTGATAAAGAACATCTGGCCCTCAAAGCCTAAAATATTTTACTATCTGACATTTTATAGAAAATGTTTGCCAACCCCTGAGTTAGGTATTTGGGATACTGAGATGAATAAGATTATTCCCCTGTCCTTAAAGCGTTTACAATCTAATGAACAAGACAAATGTGCAAGCCAATAAAGGCAGGAAATTATTACAAGTGCTACAAGAGCCATTTAAATAAGGGAACTGGGATTTCTAACTAGCTGGAGAGATAAATCAAGAAAATCAGCCAGGAGCAGTGGCTCACACCTGCAATCCCAGCACTTAGGGAGGCAGAGGCAGGAGGATAGCTTGAGTCCAGGAATTTGAGACCAGCCTGGGCAACATAGTGAGACCCCATTCCAAAAAACAAGAAGATAAAAAAGAAAATCTTCATAGAAGAGATGACAGACACTTTAATGGAGTCCTGAAAGATGAGTAGGTATTTTCCAGACATAGAGGAGTAAAGACATTCAACACAGAGAAGACAGAAATAGCAGAAATGTCCCAAGGATCAATAATGGCATGAATTTAGGGAACTGGTATCATATTTGGAGGTGGGAAGATAAATGACACAAAAAATAAGTCTGGAAGTAAGGAATTAAATTTTATCTTTTCCTTAGAAATATGATTGGCTCTCAGCCGGGCACAGTGACTCAGGCTTGTAATCCCAGCACTTTGGGAGGCTGAGGTGGACGGATCACAAGGTCAGGAGTCCGAGACCAGCCTGGCCAACATAGTGAAACGCTGTCTCCACTAAAAATACAAAAATTAGCTGGGCGTGGTGGCAGGCGCCTGTAATCCCAGCTACTCAGGAGGGTAGACAGGAGAATTGCTTGAACCTGGGAGGTGGAGGTTGCAGTGAGCCAAGATCAGGCCACTGTACAGAGCTAGACTCCGTCTCAAAAGAAAGAAACAAAGAAAGAGAGCGAGAGAGAGAGAGAGAGAAAGAAAAAAGAAAAGGAAGGAAAGAAAGGAAAGAAAGAAAGAAATATGACCGGCTCTCACAGTCAGTGTGGAGGCTAGGTTTAAGGTAGCAATAGTGGAGTGGATAACGCCAAGCTACTGTAGCAATCCAAGCATTAAATGGTGCAGGTTTGAGACCAGTTAGTAGCAGTGGACATGGAAAGGAAAGGCTGTGTGATTCCAGTGCAGGCTGGTTTAGGCGCCCCTCTTTGCCCAGAGCACCTTTATCCCTGGCTTGGCATGTGTTGCCGTGTGTGGCAACACAGACTCTGAGATCCTTGAGGACAGGAACTATGTAAGACTGATCTCTGTATCTTCAGCACTATCTTTAGCACTTCAGGATTCAGCATAGAATTGCTGTTTACTGAAGGCCACTTGCTTGGAAAAATGTAGTGAATTAATATACTGCAAATTTATGGCTGTGATGATTTGTCTTTAAGTTATGGGGACCTAGGTGGATATAGAATGAGGAAGAGGGCATGAGAATTCTGCAAGACTTCTGGTTGGCACAGAAGGCTGTTGCAATCTGACAGGATGTCCCTGTTTGAACAATAATGCTGCTTATTTCAGCTCTTTAAGGAGGCAGGCACATGATTATAAATGGCAAATGCCTGGCAAATTCAGAGCTGACATAATTACCTGGTGGTACTTTTTTAAAATATATTTTTTATCCTTTACAAAATGGCTTTTTAAGTAGTTACAAGTACAATGTCTGTTACTTGTAGAAAATTTGGAAAACATGCCGGGCGCGGTGGCTCACGCCTGTAATCTCAGCACTTTGGGAGGCCAAGGCGGGCAGATCACGAGGTCAGGAGATCGAGACTAGCCTGGCTAACACGGTGAAACCCGGTCTCTCCTAAAAATACAAAAAAAATTAGCCGGGCATGGTGGCGGGCGCCTGTAGTCCCAGCTACTCGGGAGGCTGAGGCAGGAGAATGGCGTGAACCCGGGAGGCGGAGCTTGCAGTGAGCCGAGATCGCGCCACTGCACTCCAGCCTGGGCGACAGAGTGAGACTCCATCTCAAAAAAAAAGAAAAAAAGAAAAAATTTGGAAAACACAAAAGTATAAAGAAAAAACATAAAACCAACCATAATCCCACAAACTGACTACAGATGTTTTTCTTTTCTTTTCTTTTTCTTTTTTTTTTTTTTTTTGAGACAGAGTCATGCTCTGTCAGTGAGGCTGGAGTGCAGTGGCACGATCTCAGCACTGCAACCTCCCTCTCCTGGATTCAAGTGATTCTCCTGCCTCATCCTCCTGAGTAGCTGGGATCACAAGTGTGCACCACCACACCCAGCTAATTTTTGTACTTTTAGTAGAGATGGGGTTTCACCATGTTGGCCAGGCTGATCTCAAACTCCTGACCTCAAGTGATCTGCCCGGCTCAGCCTCCCAAAGAGCTAGGATTACAGGCGTGAGCCACCACACTTGGCCTACAGATGTTTTTCTGTAGTATATCTATGTAATCTTCTGGGTAGATAGGTATATTTTTTATAAAATTGGAATCATACTGTGTGTGTATATATGCACACAACTTTCCATCCTCCCAGCTCTCTTATTCCCACTAAGTCTCTCTTTAACCTCAAAGGAGATCCAATTCAATCTCTTGGCTTCTTCCTCCTAATCTATTCTCCTTTCCTGCCATAATCAGCCTAGATCTCATCAGCTATGTCTATCTGTTAGCAGCAGTGAATCCATACGGGTTTGCAGCAAGCTCAATTCTCACCTCCTTGGAGGAAAGAATTTGGCCAAGGGGCATATGGCACAGTGAGAGACTGACTGAAGTTTTAGAGCAGGAATGAAAGTTTATTAAAAAATTTTAGAGGAGGAACGAAAGGAAGTACACTTGGAAGAGGGCCAAGTGGATGACTTGAGAAATCCAAGTGCCCCATCTGACCCCTGACTTGGGGTTTTATACATTGGCATGGTTCCAGGACTTGCATCTCTCCTCTCTTGATTTTCCTTGGGGCAGGCTGTCCGCATGCACACTGGCCTGCCAGCACTTGGGCGGGCCGCATACACTGTATTTACTGAAGTTGTGCATATGCTCATTTAAGGCGTTTTTCCCTTACCAGTCTAGTGTTCCTAGAGGAAGGTCATATACAAGTTAAACTCCACCATTTTGCCTCTTAGTGTGCATGCTTGAGCCCACTCATCCAACTCCTGAGATCTTCTCAGGAAGCTGCTGATCATCAGCCTCAAGTGTCTTCTGTCTGTTGGGAGACTGCCTTTCCCTGGCACCAGCTGCGACCAATTATTATTTTATTTAATTAATTATTTTTTGAGACGGAGTCTCACTCTGTCACCCAGACTAGAGTGCAGTGGTGCAATCTCAGCTCACTGCAAGCTCTGACTCCTGGGTTCAAGTGATTCTCTTGCCTCAGCCTCCCCAGTAGCTGGGATTACAGGAGTGTGCCACCATGCCCAGCTAATTTTTTTTTTTTTTATTTTTAGTAGAGAAAGGGTTTCACCATGTTGGCCTGGCTGGTCTGAAACTCCTGACCTCAAGGAGTGATCCACCCACCTCAGCCTCCCAAAATGCTAGGATTACAGGCATGAGCCACCACAACTGGCCTTCAATGATTATTTTAGAGAGATAGTTTAACAATCTCCTGACCATCATCTGATGGTCACCTGACATTCCTGGATTGGGGGGGGGGGCTTTCCTGCCCTGCTCTTGTCCGCCTAACTACCTACTCTAACATATAGGCTAACCAGCTACTCTCAACTTCTTCCTTCCTCCACCTACCTTATAAATCTCTCTCACCTTGGATAATTCCAGTGATGCACCTCCTGTGTTCCTAGACACAGGCTGCTGAGAATTGCTGGGGGAAAAAAAAAATCCCTCAACCATTCAAAACAAGATAAGCCAGTGCTACCAATAGTTTGTATGTTTAAACTCAGAGGGACCCTTATTGCTACTTCCATCCCTTTTTTTTTCACTTCACAGAGCCCTTCCCTCTTGCCTTTTACACTTCATCACCTTCTTAAAGTTCACTGTCTAATTCTATGACCTCCCCTTCCCCCTTCCTATCTGTTAATGACCTAATTCATATAGAAATAGAGTTCACCAAGGAGAATGCCTCTTAATTTCCTGCATTTGATCTTGAAGTATTTTCCGTAGGCCTTAGCTTTCTCAAGCCTCTCTCATTTTTCCCCATTCTAATTATTGATTCTTAATCTTTTTTCCTGGTTTCTCTTCTTTTTCCTCTTCTTTAAATTTTGCTGTCCTCTAGGGTTCCATCCTGAACCATACACTCTATCCACATTCCCTGATCTCAATGCTTCCTATGCCTTCAGCTACCTTCTCTCTCCTTTTTTTTTTTTTTTTTTAGAGATAGGGTGTCACTCTGTCGCCCAGGTTGGAGTGCAGTGGCACCATCAAGGCTCACTGCAGCCTCAACCACCTGGGCTCAAGAGCTCCTCCAATTTCAGCTTCCTGAGTAGTTGGAACTACAGGTATGTGCCACCATGCCTGGCTTTTTTTTTTTTTTTTGGTAGAGACAGGGTCTGGCTATGTTGCCCAGGCTGGTCTCAAACTCCTGGCTTGAAGTGATCCTCCTGCCTCATGCCTCAACCTCCCAAAGTGCTGGAATTATAGGCATGAACCACCACTCCTGGCCAGCTACCGCCTATGGATTAAAACTCAAATGTGTAATTCCAGCACTGGTTTATTTCTTGAGCTCCAAATTAGGATATCCACTTGCCGGCTGAATGTCTATTTTTTTTTTTTTTTTTAGACGGAGTTTTGCTCTTGTTGCCCAGGCTGGAGTGCAGTGGCGTGATCTCGGCTCACCACAACCTCCACCTCCTGGGTTCAAGCGATTCTCCTGCCTCAGTCTCCTGAGTAGCTGGGATTACAGGCATGTGCCACCACGCCCGGCTAATTTTTTGTGTCTTTAGTAGAGATGGGGTTTCACCATGTTGGCCAGGCTGGTCTTGAACTCCTGACCTCGTGATCTGCCTGCCTCGGCCTCCCAAAGTGCTGGGATTACAGGTGTGAGTCACCACTCCCGGCCCCACACATATATCTTACAATGTAGAATATTCTTGTCACAATACACTGTGGATGAACTCATTAAGGACGCTGTGAGATAATTGCTACCTGAATTAGAATGTGTAATTCACTGTGGAACATAGTAAAGGTAAGATTAGCTCTATCTGGGGGTGGGCACAGGTGTGGGTGTCCAAAGAAACTCTCAAAAAGGAACTGATATTTGTTGTTGTTGTTGTTGTTGTTGTTGTTGTTGTTGAGATGGAGTCTTGCTCTGTTGCCCCGGCTGGACTGCGGTGGCGCAATCTCTGCTCACTGCAACCTCTGCCTCCCAGGTTCAACAATTCTCCTGCCTCAGCCTCCTGAGTAGCTGGGATTATAGGCGTGCACCACCATGCCCAGCTAATTTTGTATTTTTGGTAGAGACGGGGTTTCACCTTGTTGGCCAGGCTGGTTTTGAACTCCTAACCTTAATTCAGATCATCTTCACAAACATTCAACATGGGCTGCTATGCCCCAGGCAGTATTGTTATATTGGAGATAGAGAGGTGAATAAGTCACTGACCTCAATGAGATTTTAGCTGGAGAAGCTACTTTTTCCTTGACTATCATTTATTCAAGAAAGTGGCTTGGGAGAATTAGCTCCCTAATCTCTATGAGCTCCTCTCAGCCAACCCAAATAAGTACAAAGCGTAAGTAAAAATGGTTTCTGGCAATCCAGCTTCCCTAGCCTTCCCTGACCCTTTTATTCAGATTGCCTGCTGCTGCTAAGCAGATTGCCTGCGGCTTTGTGTTCCATGTTGTCTACGTGAGGCACTGTGCTAAGCTTGTGGATGCACATATGACTGAGTCCTCAAAGAACCCAAGAGATAGGAGAACCAGGCACTCAATGAGTAGATGCAATAGGTTGTCCCAGACACTGTTACATGTTTGTTCAGGGTGTAGATGGGGCTGTAAAGAATGAAAGGTCACTTCCATCTGTGAAGGAGGGTGTTTGTAAAATGTTTAAAGCCCGAGGTAGCTGAGATGTGGGTCTCCAAGGGGACACTGGAAGGAGAAGACAAAAGATCAGTTCATTCCTCTTTTCTTTCCTTAGAACACTTACAGAACCTAAATCTCCTAAAATATTTTCTCTCCCTTTCTCAACTCTCTTTTGCCTGAAAATCATAGCTTTTCCTAAACTTGATGTTTCACTTTCTTGCTCTGTAGCTAGTGGAAAGGGTGAAAAAAAAAAAAACAGGACTGTGAACAAAACAGGCTATGCCTTATTTTGCTTCTACCAAATATAAGCATGATCTTGTTTCCTCTACACCCAGCAAAGGACAGTCAATGTCTTGTAGGTTTCTGTGTTTTTCCTTAATAAAACAACACTGTAGGAATGTTGTTTTATTTGATGCTCGACAAATACCAATTAAGAAACATGACAACAATAACAGCAATAACAAAAAGCAGTTGGTGTGAAGTTTAGGAAGAGAAGACAGCAAACCAACAACAACAGAATGCATTATGAAGTAATTTGTACCTACACTCTTGGCTGTGAAAAGTTGGAAATAATTTTTGCTAGAAACTAAGGGAAAAAATTAATGGTCTAAACAGCTGTGTAAAGGAAGGAAACTTCCTATGGAGAAACACAAGCCATTCTTGTTCTTCCTTTTTAAAAACAAAACAGGCCAGGCACAGTGGCTCACACCTGTAATCCCACACTCTGGAAGGTCAAGGGGTGGGGGGTGGATCACCTGAGGTAGGAGTTTGAGACCAGCCTGGCCAACATGGTGAAACCCTGTCTCTACTAAAAATACAAAAATTAGCCGGGCGTGGTGGCGGGCGCCTGTAGTCCCAGCTACTCAGGAGGCTGAGGCAGGAGAATCGCTTAGACCTGTGAGCAGGAGGTTGCAGTGAGCTGAGATGGCGCTACTGCACTCTAGCCTGGGTGACCGAGTGAGACTCTGTCTCTAAATAAATAAATGAATAAATACATACATACAAAACAAAACTTGGCTAAATGATTATTCAGTTACAAAAGTTAGAAACCTTGGTATTATCTCTGATTCTCCTTACTCCCTCCTCATTTAATTCCATTGCTTAGTGAGTTTTAAAATCTTATCTCCAAAATGTTTCTCAATAAATATACAGAATAGTATCTTTCCTATTCTTCATCCATGCTGTCATTGTCCAAACTGAAACTCTCTATTGCTTGATTAGCTTTTTAAAACTCTCTTTGTCTTCTTATCTCATCTTGCTCCTCTCCATTTTGTCCTCAGTTTTGCTGCCAGAATGGTCTTTCAAAAATCATGTCTTTAATATTTATTGATATTCTGAATGGCAGGATGAATCTGTCCCAGCTCCTGTCCTTGACGAGTTTTTGATGTTTTACGGTTAACATTGACTCTACCTTTCAGTTCTGAGTCTAGTCCTTTTTTTCTGCTATGCATCAGCTGCCACATCATTTCCACAAGATGCCAGTCACTGAGGAATGTAGGAACTATAGCCGATGTGTCTCCACCACGTGTAACTTTAGCTAATTATTTAAAGAATGTAGTTTGACACTTTGTGTAGAATGTAGAAAAAGTGCTGTGGAAATGGACATGGTTTTATGAGTCAAGAACTGCACTTGATCCTGGCTTTCCCTGATGACCTGTGTTTTGACATTTGAAGCTAAGTAGAGCCTGCTGATGCCTGGTGACCCTGATGAAAGTTAAAACTGATTTAGAAGTTGATGATGTTGCCTGTGTCATGTCCAAGACATTTATTTACTACACTTAATCTTAGCCAAATAACTGAGAAGTGATCAAGACATTTATACATAAACAATGAAGATATAGCTTGCTGCTGGGGTGAAATGGATCTGGCATGCAAAGACCTAGATTCTAATTCTGGTTCTGCTGTTTACTAGTTGTGTGACTTTTGGCAAGCCACTAAATAACTCTGTGTTCTAGTGTCCTCATATTTAAAACGGGTGTGATAGTACAAATCTTGAAGGATTGTTGAGGGGAATAAAGGAAACAACGTAACTCATGGAGTTTAGCACAATCCTTGAAACCTTTTGGTCAGTTTCAATGGAACAGATAATTCAGATCAAACAATAATTATTAAGCACCTTCTGTGTGCCAAGAACTGGGCTAGTTTCTAGGACTACAAAGATAAGGCCTGGTTCCTGCTGTTAAGAAGCTAATGGAGGGATACTAATGAACACTATGTAAATTTTTTAACTCAATCTGAGTCATGATGTTTCAAGATCCCCACAGTTTGCTTATCCCAAAAGACATCCGCAACATGAGCTATTCTGCTGATTAGTCTGGAACATCAAGTTTCTATAGGAAGTGTATAGTGTGTTTTGAGGAGGCCATGTAGCATGATGAAAAGACAGGTATGTGTTTATATGGACTCAGATACTCGTTAATTCACTAATTAATACTCTCAGGTACCTGGGTAAGTTTGTTCATTTCTTTGAATCTCAGTTTCCTTATTTGTAAAATGTGGAGATTAAAATACTCACAGAGTTATTGTGATGGTTAAAAGTGATAAGATATATAACATTCCTGGCACAGTCCCTGGCATAGGGTAGATAATAAATGGTGGAATTAATAAGAAAAAAAATATCCAAAAAGAAACAGAAATGGCTTTGTACCACACTCAGTTGCATGCATGTTTCATGTCCTGGTTAGCTCCTGAATAGGAACCATGTCTCTTAAACCAAGCCTTGCCTTTTCTTTCTTTTCTTTTTTTTTTTTTTGAGACAGGGTCTTGATCTGTTGCCTTGCCTAGGCTGGAGTGCAGTGGCACGATCTCTGCTTACTGTATCCTTGACCTCCTGGGCTCAAGCAATCCCCCTGCCTCAGCCCCCTAAGTAGCTAGTACTACAGGCATGAGCCACCACAACCTCACTAATTTTTAAATTTTTTGTAGAGACAGGCTCTCACTTTGTTGTCCAGGCTGTTCTTTGTTGCTCAGGAGTTTCACTTTGTTGCCCAGGCTGGTCTGTAACTCCTGGGCTCGAGCTGTCCTCCCACCTTGGATTCCCAAAGTGCTGGGATTACAGGCATGAGCCACTGAGCCTGGCCTGGCTTTCTTGAAGATGCCAAACGTCTACCTTATTCCCAGAAACCTTTATTAAATTGTAATCTATAGAAAAGAGGCGATCCCAAGGAAAAGAAAGGAAAAGAGAAACAGGATGCTCATTTTTTTGGCTGCTATCCCTTTCAGATATATTCTTATTTACTTCTTTTTCAAATTTCTTGTAGAGATATATTCTTATTTACTTCTTTTTCAAATTTCTTTTACAGACAGTGTCTCAGTCTGGCATCCAACTCAGGCTGGAGTGCAGTGACATGATCTTGGCTCACTGCAGTCTTGACCTCCTGGGCTCAAGCAATCCTCCTGCCTCAGCTTCCTGAGTAGGTAGGACTACAGATGTGTGCCACCATAACCAACAAATTTTTTTTAATTTTAAATTTTATTTTTTTTGTAGAGATGGGGTCCCACTATGTTGCCCAGGCTGGTCCCAAACTCCTGGCCTGAAGCGATTCTCCCACCTCAACTTCCCAAAACATTGGGATTACAGGTGTCAGCCACCAAGCCCGGCCCACACCACATTTCTTTGGGAAAATTCTAAGAACTAATATTTATTTATTTATTTATTTATTTCTCCTGTTGCCTGTATAATTGCAGAATAAGAGCTAATATTAATTGAGTGCTTACTATCTACCAGGCTCTGTTCTAAGCTCTTTACCCATAGGAGCTCACTTAATCCTTGAAACAACCTTTGTAGACAGCTACTATTGTTACTCACATTTTAAAGAAGGGGACACCGAGGCACAGAGAAGTTAGCAAACTTGCCTAAGGCCATATAGCTACTAAGTGATGAATCTGGATATTAAAACCCTGGTACTATGGCACCAGGATCCACATTCTTAAGTACTAAGCTTTGAGCCTCTCCTCAACTAGAAGTAGAAACTCCGCCCAGCGCAATGGCTCACACCTGTAATCCCAACACTTTGGGAGGCCGAAGTGGGTGGATCACCTGAGGTCAGGAGTTTGAGACCAGCCTGGCCAACATGGTGAAACCTCGTCTCTACTAAAAATACAAAAGTTAGCCAGGCGAGCGCCTGTAATCCCAGCTACTTGGGAGGCTGCGGCAAGAGAATCTCTTGAACTTGGGAGGTGGAGGTTGCAGTGAGCCGAGATCGTGCCACTGCTCTCCAGCCTGGGCGATAAGAGTGAAACTCCATCTCAAAAAAACAAAACAAAACAAAACAAAACAAACAAAAAAAACAGAAACTCATTCATTTCTATACCATCTAACTACTGATCCACTGGCATCTGAACCCATACTCTCTGCTCTTCTTTCTTGTTACTTTGGATAAAGTATCTCTGCTAGTATCAAAAGTCAACCTTTGCACTTGGGCTTGGGGTCTCAGTCTTTTCCTTTCTTTCTTTTTTTGTATTTTATTCCAGTGTTTTGCCAACACAAAAAGAGGTCTCAATCTTATGAAGGGCTTCACTGCTGCTATTCTCTCTTTTCTCTAGGATGTCCCCAGTTTTTCCCTCTCTTGAAAATCAGCAAAGTAATATTCTCTAGTGTCTTCGATCTAAATAATAATTTTAAAAAAGGACAAAGAAAGCCCTTCCCTTGACCACACCTCCGTTTCCAGCTAGTGCCTCATCTTTTAGTTTCCTTTTTAGCTCTTTCTCTTGATATTTGCACGGCTGGCCTTTTCTTATCCTCCATATCTAAGTTTAAAGCCACTTCCTAAGAGGCCTGCCCTATAACCACCCCCTATAAATTAGCTACCCACTGACTTCCTATTAAAATAATTTATTAAATTATTTGCAGTGTTAATCAGTATTGGATATTTTTCTTGTTTACTTGTTTAGTGTTTGCTTTCACCACAGAATTTAAGCTCTGAGAGAGCTTATTCACTGCTGTATTCCCAGGACCTCCAACAGTGCCTAGATATAGTAGGTGGTCAATAAATCCTTTGGTTTTTTTTTTTTTTTTTTTTTTTTTGTGTGAGAGAGAATTTGGCTCTGTCACCCAGGCTGGAGTGCAGTGATGCAATCTCGGCTCCGAGGTTCAAGTGATTCTTGTGCCTCAGCTAGGACTACAGGGTGCGCCACCACGCCCAGATAATTTTTGTATGTTTAGTAGAGATGGGCTTTTACCATGTTGGCCAGGCTGGTCTCGAACGCCTGATCTCAAGTGATCTGCCTGCCTCGGCCACCCAAAGTGCTGGGATAACAGGTGCGAGCCACCGCGCCCAGCCAATAAATGCTTAAATTGCCCCTGTAGGCTGTTAGTGATCTATCCCTACTTCTTTGACCTTATCTCCCACCACTTTCTCCCTGGCTCACTGCTCCACGCACACTGACCTCCTTGTTGATCCCTCAAGATGCCACGCTCACTCCTAACATTTGGTCTTTGCATTTGCTATTCCTTCGTCTTGGAAGGCTCTTCCACCAGGCTCCCTCCTTCGCTTTCTTCAGGTCTTTGCTTAAAAGTTACCTTTTCACTCAGGCCTTCCCTGTTTGGGAATTTAAAATAGCAGTCCCAGCGCTCTCTCCTTCCTTGCTTATGTTTTTCTCCATAGCATTTATGATTTTTTAATGTACGATATAATTTACTATTTATTTTACCATTCCCCTCACCTGTCATGAAGGCTCTGTTGTATCCCCAATGTCTAGAAGAATGCCTAGCACAAAACAGCGAATATTTATTAAATGAATGGATTTGTGGAATGAATGCATAAATGAATATCAGATATGAAATCTTTTGGAAGTGGAAGGTATCATGGCCAGTAAAATTATTTATTAATATGTTCATAATCTTTTTTCTTTACTCTAATCCCATGACAGATTATAAATAATCTTAATAGCAGTATTCACGTTTGCATTCTCGCATCCGTGGCATGGAGTCCTACACACAATAGGCGCCCTAAGAAAGCGTGTTTGACTTGATCGCTGGAGCATCTGCCGGCACCGCCCAGGACCCGCCCAGGACCCGCCCCGCCCCCTGCGGCCCCGCCCCCCGCATGCTGAATGCCATATAGGCGAGTGACGTCAGGCCGTTTGTTGTCATTGGCGGCTCCCAAGATGGCGTCCATCATGGAAGGGCCGCTGAGCAAATGGACTAACGTGATGAAGGGCTGGCAGTACCGTTGGTTCGTGCTGGACTACAATGCAGGACTGCTCTCCTACTACACGGTGAGTCCTTGGAGGGCACAGCTCCAGGCGCCTCGGGGCCGCGTTTCCTGGGTGGAGGTGGGGGACCGGGGTTTTAGGTGGCTGAGTTGAGGTTGCTAGTCTGGGGGTGCCGCCGTACGCGAGGGTTCCCTTGTTGGGGAGGGTTTTACGTCTCGGATAGCCAATGAGGGTGAGGGAGAGAGGGGCGCAGCCAATAAATAGAAACTAGCTGTCTGATTTATGGGTTGGGGGTGAGCCAAGTTTCTTTCTTAGGGTCCGCTATTAAGCGGTAGTGGGGTCCAGCATGGTTGTGAGCGGGTAAGGGTGATCGTAGTCATGGCTTAAAAGGTCCAGTCTTGCGGTTCATGCTGTCTTCATATGTTGTCATGGACTTTACACTGTCCCACCAAGGCCCTGTAGCCGGCCGCACCCCTTAGCTTCCCTCCAGGGATTGAAGAGCTCTGCTTCCTCGGAGGAGTGGCCAGAGGAGCCGGGACAGGTCCAAAAGTGACCAGCCCTCGGGCAACACCAGGGGGTCCGAAATCCCTCCAGTCGGTTCAGGTTGTGTGTCTCATTCAAGGGACGCACCCCTCTATTTAGCGGGAGGCGAGCTCAAACGACGCCTTAACTTTTGAGAGCCAAGGATTTCCTACACGCGAGACTCTTGTCAGCGAAGAGAGACAAGTGATAGTGCAGTGTCCCCTTACAGTTACATTCTGGGTTCAGGGCTTCACTGTTGTTAACATGAGTTGGTGGCCGTGGAAAAGTAGATGAATTGCTGTGAATCTTACGTGGTTGTGTGTGTGTGTGTGTGTGTGTGTGTGGTTTTTTTTTTGAGACGGAGTCTCGCCCTGTTGCCCAGGCTGGCGTGCAATGGCATCATCTCGGCTCACTGCAACTTCTGCCTCTCGGGTTCAAGCGATTCTCCTGCCTCTGGCCTCCCTAGTAGCTGGGATCACAGGCATGCGCCACCACACCCTGCTAATTCTTGTATTTTTAGTAGAGACGGGGTTTCACCATGTTGGCCAGGCTGGTCTTGAACTCCTGACCTCAGGTGATCCACCCGCCTCGGCCTCCCAAAGTACTGGGATTACAGACGTGAGCCACCGCGTCCGGCCTTGAATCTTATGTTTTGACTATCCCCTCCACCCTCATCGCATTCGATATGGAGAGTAGGTGGTATTAGGGAGATAACTTACTTAGAAAGGTACTTTCTCTGAATGGTGTATAGTTGACGATAGCCGATATGAGGGAAGAAAATACATAAGAGGACAAAATAGAATGCCCAGAAAGCTTTAGAAAATAATAGAAGACAGAAAGAAAAACATGATTATGGAAGAAGGATTAAGGTTGATGAGAGAAAGGGGACACTGAATTTATTTGTTCATTTAAAAAATATTATTGAGCTGCTATGTGCGTTTTCATGCCAGCAAGAATAGACAGTAAAAAAGACATTCACTGTTCCTCTTCTCTGGAGCTTATATACTAGCTTGGTGAGTCCTTTAATTCATTTCACTCCTAATAACTCTGCAAGGTGGTTATTCATTATCTCCATTTAATATCCCCAGTTACAGTTTTGAAATCTGAGGCTCCAGGCTTTTAAAGCAATTTGCTCAACATCACATAGCACTAAGTGATGGAATCAGGATGCCAAATTATTGACTTTTTCTACTAAACTTCGCTTTCACTACAGGAAGGAGAAAAGTGTAAGTTGTGAGTTACTAAAGGCAAGCTTGCAAGAGTAAAAGTATTACTTTCATCATCCTTCAACTATCAGCTTTCTTTCTCTACATAGTTTTTAAAGGGAAAAAGACTAAACCTTAATGAGTCTTAAACACATTGTTCAAGATTGTCTTTAGGTGGGCATGAAAGAGAGGCAACTGAATATTATGTCCTGAAAACTCTGGAATTATGAAACCCATGGCTTAGATAAAGGAAAAGTAATATTGGGTTTAAGTAGATGTGATAATCAGAAAATCCCGTAAACTCTATTCAAGATAGAGTGATTTCAGTGAGTGACACTATGCAGTTAAGTTACTTTACAAATCCCAAATTTGTGTGGATCTGAATCTAGGACCATACTGGAGAGGCCCCCAGCTGAGGTTCTTGGGAATGCCTAGCCCAGAAAGAATCTTCCTTTTTCCTCTTTTTCTTCTTTTCATGTATCCTTTTTCTGCTTTGTTGCCCTTTCAGTTTTTGAATACTTGGACAAATATCTCTTTTCTTGCTGGCTAAATATAGGGTTTAAAAAAATACTTTTTTCCCCCTCAATGCTTATCCTTCTTTTTGAGACTAGATTCCCTAAAATATTATCCTTGCCAGAGGAAGGAAGTATCATATTTCTCACTAACAGCTGTTTAGAAGATTTTTTTTCTTTTCTAGTTCCTTGATATTGAAGTATTTGCTTACAGAGAAACAACAGACAATTGTTGTACCATCTTGTGAAAATAAAATGATACCCAATCTCAAATTAGAGGAGGTCTAGTGAAGAGGGGAAAAGGATAGATATTTACTTAAAAGGGAAGGTAGGAGACACATTGGATATTGGCAATGAATTCTACACACATGACATTATTTCAGTCCATTCGGATTCTGAAGGATTTGAAGGTACATATTAATGATTTGCATGTGGCTAATAACTTGGAGCTACATCTTCCAGGAAGAATATCTGAATTAGTTGTGTAGCCTTCCAAGCAAGGCAGTGAATAGCATAACTTTATTTCTTGTTTCCAAAATCACTTGGCCTGTAGTCTGTCTCTGTGGTTGTTAATATATTCTAGGGTGGTTCTGAAAACCCTGAACTAAACTAGAGTGACCTTGCTTTAGAGTTGGCTTTACTGAGAATTGTTCTTGAGGTAATCTCAGGATTGGGTTAGGATCATTGCGATAGTTGTGAACTGAATAGATTTACACAAGCCTCACCTTAGTTGAATTTTTATTAGATGAAATGGCCAGGGAGAACTAAGGATATAAATTTAGGAACACTATGTGAGCAACCAATTGTTTATGTGGCTTATGATCACAAAAGAAGATATGGAAGGAAGGAAATTGGGGGAGTTATAGATCTATGAGGAATTGGAAGTTTAGAAAGAGGAGTTTGTGCCTTTTGTTAATTTATGAAAGGTTACTGAGTACCTATTGTGTGCCTGGCACTTTGTTAGGAAGTGGGGTTAAAGTGGCAAATAAGATGGAAATTGTTCATCCTCTCATGGTACCTATAATATGTTGGGGGACATACCAGATAAGAGCTGTGATAGAGGAAGCACAGGGGGATACATAGGTGGGCTACTTGACTCAGTCTTGAAGGGTTAGGAAAGGTTTCCTTGGAGAAGCAGGTTTGTTTTGACTTGAATGATGAGGAGAGATTAGCCGTATGAGCAGAGAGGGAAAAGTGCTTGAGACAAAGGGAATAAAAGTTTTTTGGAGGAGAGAAGAGTAAGCAGCTTGTCAGTTCTGGAGGTTGGGCTGTGAGGTAGGTAGTAGTGAGAGATGAACTGGGGAGCTAAGCAGGAGGACAGATAATGAAAGGCTTTCTTGGCAAACCATGTTAAGGAATTTGAACTTTATCCCCAGGGCAGTGGAGAGCTATTTCAGTGTTGTAAGCACTTTTTATTATTATTGAAAAATCTTTTATTATAGAAATTTAAAAAAATAAATCTATTTTATTTATTCATTTATTTTGATAAGACTGGTTAATTTTGTATTTTTGGTAGAGACGGGGTTTCACCATGTTGCTGAGGCTGGCCTCGAACTTCAGGGCTCAAGCATTCACTTGCCTCGGCCTCCCAGAATGTTAGGATTACAGGCGTGAGCCCCTGTGCCCAGCCTATTATAGAAAATTTTTAACATTCATAAAACTAAAGAGGACGGTAAAATGAATTCATTTCATCCAGCTTATACAAGTATCAACATATGGCCAGTCTTGTTTTATTAGTACTCCCATTAACTCCTTCCTCCTCTATTGAATTATTTTTAGAGCAGATCCCAGATTATTATTTCTTGTGAATATTTCAGTATGTGGCCAGGCATGGTGGCTCACGCCTGTAATCCCAGCACCTTGGGAGGCCGAGGCGGGGAGATCACCTGAGGTCAGGAATTCAAGACTAGCCTGGCCAACACTATCTCTGCTAAAAATACAAAAATTTGCCCTGCTGTGGCCAGCGCCAGTAATCCCAGCTACTTGGGAGGCCAAGAATTCAGCCTCTCCCTTCAAGGAGAATCACTTGAACCAGGAAGTGGAGTTTGCAGTGAGCCGAGATGGTCCCACTGCACTCCAGCCTGGGCGACAAAGCAAGACTCCGTCTCAAAAAAAAAAAAAAAAGAAAGTTAAGGTCCCTCTATTTTCAAAAGAATGTTATCAAAACACTTTTATTACAGCTAAATAGTAGTATTTATTAATATCAAATATCCAGTCTGTTCAATTTCCTAGAATGTCGCAAACATTTCTTCCTTACCAGTTGGTTTGAGTCAGAATTCCAAACAAGATCTGCATATAAAATTATAGAGTCTCTTTTAATCTCTAGTTCTCCCTCTCTTTTTCTTGGCCATTTATTTGTCTAAGACACCAGGTCATTTACTCTGTAGAATTTTCTGCATTTTGGATTTTGTTGGAAGCATCATTTTGGTATGTTTAAACAGGTTCCTTTGTCCTCTGTATTTCCTATATAAATTGATAATTTGAGCTGAAAGCTTAATCAAATTTATTTTTTTTCTTTTGGGCAAGAATATAGGTGGAACCTATCAAATCAAGAGGCATATGATGTTAGCTTGTCTCTCTATGATGTTAAAATTGATCAGTAGGTTCAGGTGAAATGTGTGTTTTTTTTTTTATTTTAAAGAATATGGTTGCGGAGAAGTAATCAGGAGGTTGCTTTTGATGGGATTTAGTGATTGGATGTGAGTGAAAGGGGAAGAGTCTGAAGACATCCAGGTTTTCAGCTTGAGCTGGTTGAATGATAAAAAGGAAGATAGGAAGAACAGGTTGGGGGAGAGAAGTGGTTGCTTTGGGGCATGTTGAAATTGACATAAAGATGTGTTACAGTCTGGAGCTTGGGACAAAAATCTGGGCTGCATATCCTCTTATCAGTCAGTAAAACATAAAATAAATCTGGGCTGCAGATAAATATTAGTTTTTCATATATGGAGAGTTGAGAGAGTGAGTAGAATAGAGATCTTTGGATAGGACTCTGGAAAATACCACTGGATTTAGTTATCTATTGCGTTATGACAGATTACTCCAAAATGTAGCAATTTAAAACAACAGTTTGTTACCTCATAGTTTTCGTGGGTCAGAACTTTGAGTTCTGGCTCAGGGTCTCTTATGAAGTTGTAGTCAATATATTAGCCAGTGCTGCAGTCATCTGAAAGGCTTGACTGGAGCAGGAAGATCAGCTTCCACGATGACTCACATGGCTGTTGTCAGAAAGTGGCAGTTCCTTGCTGGCTGTTGGAAGGTGGCCTCATTCCTCACCAGGTAGCCTCTCCATTGAGCTGCTTAAGTGTCATCATGACAGAGCAGCTGGCTGTGATCCAAGTGAGAGCAAAGAGGAAGCCTCAATCCCTTTTATGACCTAGTCAGAGACCACCACTTCTGCCTTATTCTGTTCATTAGAGACAAGCCATTAAATTCCACTCATGCTCCTGGGGATGGGAATTTCAGACATGAGGAGGGAAATTAGGCTTTATCTTTTGAAAAGAATTTGTGGACAAATTTTAAACCACCACAATCACAATTTAAGGGATTGGCAGAGGAAAAAAGCTTGCACAGGAGAGTGAAAAGGGATGCCAGAGATGTAAGAGAAAAACTAGAAGAATGTGGCAGTCATGGATGGCAAGGTGGAAGTAGTAAATTGGCTTGAATACTGCTGAAAGGATTAAATAGATGAGATCTAAAGCATATCCATTGGATTGATGAACATCATTGATGTTCTTAGGCAGAGCAGTTTCCATGGAGTGGTAGGTATGGAATGCAGGTTGGAGTGGCTTGAAGAGTAAAGAGGAGGCAGGAAATATATGAAGCGAATGGAGGTTATTCAAGATGTTTCATTGTAGAAAGGGCAAAGAGGACATGGAATGTGGAATGGAGGGGAACAGTTTCTAAAATAGGAATATGCTTAAATGGTGTAGGGATGGGAAGCAAGGTCAATGTTAAAAATGAGGATACAGTCAGGACGCAAGGAGTATAGTAAAGATTTAGGACAATGACAGTGGGAACTGGAAAAAGGAATAGCTAAGGAATAGCTAAATATGATTTGTTTAGTCATTACCCACAAATGTTTAACCCTCTTTCTTGATTTGTATTGCTTTTGGAGAGAGGGTTAGAAACTGAATTAGTAAGTTACCTGGGCTACTCAAGATATTCCTTGTAAAAGGAGTCGTTAGAGAAATCATATGTTCTTTGCTGTTACACACTGTCTGGAAGAGACTTGTAATGACTTTGCATTTTAAAACCACTGCTAGTCAAAACACATTTAAGTGTTATTTGGCAGTCTTTAGCAATGTTTAGTAGATGATAAAAAAATCTACCATCTAATTATTAGATTTTAGATTTTTGAATAGCTTAAATGTATATATTTCTCTTGCAAACATGTAAAAGTAGTCTCAGATTCTCCTGGAAAGGTATCAGCACCACTCCCATCAAACATTTAAAAGCAAATTTATTCTTTTCTAAGTAAACCATTCTTGAATATATCAAATATGATTTTTATTGAGCTTATATATGGTACTTTTTTTTTTTTGTCGGAGTCTCGCTCTGTCACCCAGGTTGGAGTGCAGTGGCACGATCTCCACTCACTACCACCTCCACCTCCTGGGTAGAAGCAATTCTCCTGTCTCAGCCACCCGAGTAGCTGGGATTAAGGCACCCACCACCAGGCCTGGCTAATTTTTGTATTTTTAGTAGAGACGAGGTTTCACCATGTTGACCAGGCTGATCTTGAACTCCTGACCTCAGATCATCCACCTGCCTCAGCCTCCCAAAGTGCTGAGATTACAGGTGTGAGCCACCTTGCCTGGCTATATGGTACATTTTAGTAGTCCAAATCTAATAGAGTAGCTTTAGAATTATAAAAGGAACAAAAGAAAAATTGTATCTAAATCTAAATGGGCTGGGTGCAGTGGCTCATGCCTGTAATCCCCCAGCACTTTGGGAGTCGAGGCAGGTGGGTCACTTGAGGTCAGGAGTTCAAGACAAGCCTGACCAACATGGTAAAACCCCGTCTGTACTAAAAATACAAAAATTAGCCGGGCATGGTGGTACACCTCTGTAATCCCAGCTACTTGGGAGGCTGAGGCAGGAGAATCGCTTGAACCCGGAAGGCAAAACCCGTGAGCTGAGATCACGCCACTGCACTCTAGCCTGGGTGACAGAGTGAGACTCTGTCTCAAAAAATAAATAAATAAATAAATAAAAATAAAAATAAATCCAAACACCCTGAAAAGACATAAAGAAACTCTCTAAGATAGTGAGTAGTATCAGTGGGAAGAATTATTTGGAAATTTTTTATCTTTTACTTTCCTTGAATACTTTAGACAGTCTTGATTTTTCCCTTTTCTAAAACTCCTGAGCCTAGCTCATATACTTCTTTTGGGCATTAATCATCTTACATCTGCTACAATTAACTAAATGTATCTCTAGTACATTCTTTATCTGTACAGCAAGCTTGTAAACTCCATGATGGCAGTACTGAACATCATAATAATCTTCAAGCCTGACAATGAGGCATATTATTCTCCTTGTGAATAGAATATGAATGGCCCTTCTAATTCGAATTATAGGTGAGTGAGGCAGAAGGCTGTTTGGAATTCTTGTTTACACAGCCTTGTAAGTTTTACAGAATATACTAATAGCAAATATGTATGTTTCCACAGTTTATGTAAAACCTGATTGGGTTTATATTAACAACAGAGGTTTTTTGTTTAGTCATCCAGAGCCTGTGGAACTGTGTGCCATCTTTGCTTCCTGTGTTGTAGCAGACAAGCAGTCAATTCTTGCTTCTGTTGCAAGCAGTTTTCTTGATGGTGATAATTTGTAGAAAGATGTAGAGTTGTTCTTAAATATGCCACTCCAAAAGTGGCAATTGTATGATTAGATTTTCTTTTTTTAAAATGTAATTTAATTTATTTTAAACTAATCTAGACCATGCCAGTTGGAAGGATTAGATTTTCAAATAGGTAATCCCGATCAAAACTAGAACAGTGTACAAGTGATTTAGATTAAGGATTGAATTTCTTTTACTGTTTATAGAGAAATACAGACAAAGAAATGGCCACCCCAATCAATTGTTTCCTTCTCATTTATTTAATTGTAAAGGATTATCTTCTTCTTCTTTTTTTTTTTTTAATGGGGTACTGCTCTGTCATCCAGGCTGGAGTGCAGTGGCATGATTTTGGCTCACCGCAACGTCCAGCACCAAGACTCAAAATCCTCCCACCTCACCTCAGCCTCCTGAGTAGCTGGGACCATAGGCATGCGCCACCACACTGGCTAACTTTTTGTATTTTTGGTAGAGATGGGGTTTCACCATGTTGGCCAGGCTGGTCTCAAACTCCTGAGCTTAAGCAATCCACCCTCCTCGGCCTCCCAAAGTGCTGTGATTATAATTGTGAGCCACTGCATTCAGCCCAGGATTATTTTAAAAATGGAATTTACTTGCAGAAGTTAAGTTTACATGTTACATGGGATGATATAAATGGAATTATATTCAAGGAAAGTATTTCCAGGTATTCATAATTAATTTTTTTCTATTCACATGACAATGTTAAAATTATTGTAAAAGTTGATTGTCTATTTCTTGGAGTTTTGTTCCATTGAGGCCCCATGATAAGATTGTCTACTTATTTCTTGTATTTTATCTTAGTATTGTTATGGCACAGCTGGGTGAAAATACACTGGATAAAAATGTGATCTGTCGTTCTGGCAGCTATCTTTTGTCTCTCAATCCTCTTCTTTCCTCCATCACTCATAGGAGATGCCATGCTTACCAGAGACAATAGTCCATTTGGTGGGAACACTCTCAACTCCTTGTTCTCCCACCTATTTTGATATATCTATTTTCCTCTTTATACTTGCTTTTACCTTTCCCTATCATAGAAGAGGTAATCCTGTGTTCTGGATTCCATTTGCTCACAAACTTTTCGGGGATCTCAGTCTATAGATTTTCTCCTCTATCTGCTTTCTCTCCTCTCTCTATTTAACTTCTTCCTCACTACAGATTTTTCTTATTTAAGAATATTATTATTATTATTATGCAGTATAACAAACAGTTGTAATCATTTTATACAGACATTTTTAGATAGCCTGTTGCTTTTTATTCTTTTTTTTCCCCCTTACAACCAGATCTCACTCTGTCACCCAGGCTGGAGTACAGTGTGCTATCACAGCTCACTGCAGCCTCGACCTCCCAGGCTTAAGCAATCCTCCTGCCTCAGTCTTCTGAGTAGTTGGGATTGCAGGCATGTGCCACCACACGAGCTAATTTTTGTTTTGCTTTTTTTTTTTGGTAGAGTTAGGGTCCCACTGTGTTGCCCAGGCTAGTCTTGAACTCCTGGACTCAAGTGATACTCCCGCTTTGGCCTTCCAAAGTGCTGGGATTACAAGTGTGAGCCATGACACCTGGCCATCTTTAATTTTGATGATGTCCAGTTTATTTGTTCTTCTGCTGCTGCTTATGCTTTTGGTGTCGTATCTGAGAAATCATTGCTTAATCTAAAGTCACAAAGTTTCATATCTATGTTTACTTCTAAGAGTTGTTTATTTTAGCTATAATGGGTAGGTCTGATCCATTTTTGTTGTTGGTCATGGTTTTTTTGTTTGTTTATTTTGAGACAAGGTCTTTCTCTGTTGTCCATCCTGGAGTGCAGTGGCACAATCATAGCTTATAGCAGCCTCAAACTCCCAGGCCAAGTGATCCTACCACCTCAGCCTCCTGAGTAGCTGGGACTACAGGCTTGTGCCACCATGTGGGCTACTTTTTTTATTTGTAGAGGATGGGGTCTTGCCATGTTGCTCACACTGTTCTCCAGCTCCTGGGCTGAAATGATCCTTCTGTCTCAGCCTCCCAAAGTACTGGGATTATATGTGTGAGCCACTGCACCTGGCTAGTTTTTTTTTTTAATATGGAATGAGGTAAGGGTCCACCTTTATTCTTTTGCATGTGGATATCCAGTTGTCCGAGCATCATCTGTTGGAAAGACTTCTTTCTCCATTGAATTGTTTTGGCATTCTTGTTGGCAGTTAACTAACCATAAATGTGAAGATTTGTATTTAGACTGTCAGTTCTATTCCATTGACTTATTTGTCTGTACTTACGCCTGTACTATACTGTCTCAATTACTGTAGCTTTGTAGTAAGTTCTGAAATTGGGAAATGTAAATCTTCTAACTTTCTTTGTTCTTTTTCAAGATAGTTTTGGCTATTCTGGATCCTTTGAATTTACATATGAATTTTAGGATGGACTGACTTTTTCATTAATGTATTAACATGTTCATCTCTCCTACTTTGAAAAATGTCTCTCCTAATTCTGTTTTTTTTTTGAAAATATCATCCTAACCTGTCTTCCTCAATATACATTTGTGTATTGAAATGCCTGTCTCTGTTAGTCCATCTTGCATTTACTCGACAGCACTCTTTTTTACCTCCACATTTCACTGAAAATTCCAGCAGAGGTCCCCAGTGATAGCTTTGTTGCTAAACCCAATGGGTGCTTTTTTCGCTCTTAATCTTAGCACTGTCTCCATAGCATTTGATGACACTGGTTACTCTTTTACAGCTTTAAAAATTGTTTTACTGTTCTTGAAGAGATGACATTGTACTCTTAATTATTTTTCTACCACTGTACTAATGAAGGCCTACTCTCAATTTTTTTTTTTTTTTGGAAAGGACTATTGCAGTATTACTCTAAATTTTTAAAAGAAGAGTCAAACTATAGTGAAAGGTCTATACAGTAGAAGGAAGAAAAGTCACACCTGAAATCCTACTTATCTGTGTTTTGGAGAATAGCTTTCCTAACAACTCTTTATGCACAAATACACATCTGTGTACTTTATATAAATGGAATCATTTTATACATGATATTCTACAACCTAAAAGCATTTTAAGATTTTTCTGTGTAAGTTATTGTACCATTTTGTATTGTATTTCTTCAAGAGGCAAATGAACAAAAGATAACATTTTTTCTTCATCTTTATTTAATAAGATCTCAGTCATCTGGCTTTGGGAAGTTAAAATTCCTACGCTGGCCTGGTGCAGTGGCTCGTGCCTGTAATTTCAATACGTTGGGAGGCTGAGGTGGGAGAATTGCTTGAACCCGGGAGGTGAAGGTTGCAGGGAGCTGAGATTGCGCCACTGCACCCCAGCCTGGGCGACAGAGCAAGACTCCATCTCAAAAAAATAAAAAAGAAAAGAGAAAAAGAAAAATATCTAAATTTTTTATTATGACTTTACTATGACTTTGTGATCTGCTTCAATTTATCTTTCTTTTTTTCTTTTTTTTTTTTTTTTTGAGATGGAGCCTTGCTCTGTTGCCCAGGCTGGAGTGCAGTGGCGTGATCTCGGCCCACTGCAGCCTCTGCCTGCTGGGTTCCAGCAATTCTCCTGCCTCAGGCTCCTGGGTAGCTGGGATTACAGGTGCGTGCCACCATGTCCAGCTAATTTTTGTATTTTTAGTACAGACGTGGTTTCACCATGTTGGCCAGGCTGGTCTCCTGACCTCAAGTGATCCACCCTCCTCGGCCTCCCAAAGTGCTGGGATTACAGGCCTGAGCTACCATGCCCGGCCTTAGCTTAACACTCTCTATTCACTTGAGCTTTTCTTCTGTTCCTTTGAAGTTCTTCAAACTTGTTCTTGCCTCAGGGCCTCTGAATGTTTTCTGTCTTGGACAGGTCTAGCATGGTTGATTACTTCTTATACAGGTTTTCATTCATATGTCACTGCTCAGAGAAGCCTTTCTATAACAAACCATCTAAAGTAGGCCTCTCACCCTCAGTTGCTATCATAATCATCTCGTTTGATTTTTCATGGCATATATTGTTATTGCTTTATTTTGTTTCTCTTGCTTATTGTCTGTTTCTGTCTTGTATGAATAGAATGTAAGTTCCATTAGAACAGAGACTTTATTTATCTTCATCATTTTATCTCCAGCATCTAGAGCAGTGCCTGGCACTTAGTGGCTTTTCAGTAAATATAGTCATGGGTCGCTTAACAATGGGGCAGGAGTGTGGGGAGATATCTTCTGAGAAATTTGTTAGGTGATTTTATCATTGTGTGGATGTCATAAAGTGGGCTTACACAAACTTAGATCATATAGTTTACTACATACCTAGTCCATGTGGTAGGCTGCCACCCTGTACAGTGTGAAACTGTATGGGCAGGCCAAAGGGAAAACTTCTTGGCCTTTGGAGGTTCGCTGAAATGCAACTGACAAAAGGCAGATTCATAGGAGAAAAGGCATACAAATTCACTAATGTGGCTCGGTGCAGTGGCTCATGCCTGTAATCCCAGTGCTTTGAGAGGCTGAGGTGGGTGGATCACCTGAGATCAGGAGTTTGAGACCAGCCTGGCCAACGTGGTGAAACCCTGTCTCTACTAAAAATACAAAAATTAGCTGGGTGTGGTGGTGTGCGCCTGTAGTCCCAGCTACTTGGGAGGCTGAGGCAGGAGAATTGCTTGAAACTGGGAGTTGGAGATTGCAGTGAGTCAAGACTGTGCCACTGCACTCCAGCCTGGGCGACAGAGCCATATTCCATCTCAAAAAAAAAAAATTATTAATGTGCATGGGGGAGGGGGAGTTATGGAGTGATTACCCCAACCCCCTAATGGAGTACAGTAATTTATATACCCTTTTTCACAGGGGACGGAGGAGATGGGGAGTGTAGACAATTCTTTTAAAGGGTACTAAATGATTACTGGGGGGAATGAATGAATCAAGGAGACAGAAAAGTCCATCCAGGTGTAGTTGCATTTCTCAGTCTTCTTTTCTGTGATAGATAATGAGATTTCAGAAAGGGGATAGAAGACAATTGTGGTTTTTTTGGTAAGATGCTTTTTTGGTCAGATAAGGAAATGCCAGAGAGTCTCTCCCGGCGCTGGGTCAGGGAGAAACAAGACAAGGTTAGAGGGACCTTGATCCTAAGTTTTATTTCTAAGGCCTTTCAATTTTCAAAAGCACCATGCCCAAGTGCCATATTTTCTGGGTTAGTCGTTTTCTGCACTACAACATTACTGTACTGAATACTGTAGGCAATTGTAATATAATGGTAAATATTTGTGTATCTAAATGTATCTAAGCATAGAAAAGATACAATAAAAATAGGTATAAAAGATAAAAAATGGTACACCTGTATAGGGCACTTACCATGAATGAAGCTTGCAGGACTGGAAGTTGTTCTGATGAGTCAAAGAGTGAGTGGTGAGTGAATGTGAAGGCCGGGGACATTACCATACACTACCATAGACTTTATAAACACTGTACATTTAGGTAACGCTAAACTTACAAAAAAAATTTCTTTCTTCAATAAATTAACCTTAGCTTACTGTAGTGCTTTACTTGATAAACTTTTAATTTTTTTAAAACACCTTTAATTTTTGTTTTAACTTTTTGACTCCTTCGTATTGACACTTGGGTTTAAAACACAAGCACATTGTACAGCTGTACAAAAGTATTTTCTTTCTTTATATGCTTATTCTATAAGCTCTTTTCTATTTATAAGTTTTCTTATTTTATGTTTTTTATTTTAAGCTTTTTCTTGTTAAAAATACAACTGCCCAATGGGTTCTTTCTGCCCACTGCGCAAAGAAAATCAGTTTGTGGAGACCATGGCATTACAGTAAAGAAAGTTTGACACGAGGCTGGCCTCACTCTGAGGTTAGGGATTTTTCAAAGATAGTTTGGTGTGCTGGGGCCTACAGTATGGGGAGTGCTGATTGGTTGGGTTGGAGCTGTCCTCTTGTGCTGAGTTGCTTCTAGGTGAGGCCACAGGAGCAGCTGGCATGTCCATGTGGGAGCCATCAGTTGTCAGACATGCAAAAAACTTGAAAAGATATCTCAAAAAGGCCAATCTGGCTGGGCATGGTGGTGCATGCCTGTAATCTCAGCGCTTTGGGAAGTAGCAGCAGGAGGATCATTGAGCCCAGGAGTTTGAGACCATCCTGGGCAACATAGTGAGACCCCATCTCTACAAAAAACTAAAAAAATTAGCCAAGCATGGTGGAGTGTACCTGTGGCCCCAGCTACTTGGAGGCTGAGGCAGGAAGATCGCTTGAGCCCAACAGGTCGAGGGTACAGTGAGCTATGATCATGCCACTGCATTCCAGCCTAGGCAACAGAGCAAGACCCTGTCTCAAAAAGAAAAAAAAAAGACCAACCTTAGGTTCTTCAATAGTGATGTTATCTGCAGAAGTAATTGTGACGTCCAGAATAATGGCTGACAATCATTTATGTCTATGCCTTAGCAGGATTCAGGCTCCTCTAATCTCCTAGCCTGGTGGTCTCTCTCATTAGATTTACAAAGGCAGTTGAGTTTTGGGGAAGGATTATTATCATTTAAACTATAAATGTCTCCCAAAGTTAGCTTGGCTTAAGCCTAGAAATAATTGCAGCTTGAAAGCTAAAGGCAAGGGGGCATTGGCTAGATCAGGTCTCCCCAACTGCCATAATTTTCTCACTGATAGAATTTTTGCAAAGGTGGCTTCAAAAAGTAAGATACAAAAACATTAGCAGAGGTCTACATAGGCTCAGTATCATCAGTATCACTGTCTTCCACCTGTACATCTTGTCCCACTGGAAGGTCTTTAGGGCAATAACTCACATGGAGCTGTCATCTCCTATGATAACAATGCTTTCTTCTGGAATCCCTACTGAAGGACCTACCTGAGGCTGTTTTACAGTTAACTTTTAAATATATCTATATATACACGTATATATAAATAGAAGGCATATACTCTAAAATAACAATAAAATACAGTATAGTAAATATATAAGGTAATGTACTTATTATCAAGTATTATGTACTGTACATAATTGTATGTGCTATATTTTATACGTCTGGCAGCACAGTAGGTTTGTTTATAACAGCATTGCCACAAACATGAGTACAGCATCATTAGGCAATAAGAAATTTTCAGCTCCATTATAATCTTACAAACAGTTCTGTGAAGTAATTGGTATTATTTCCTTTGAACAGTGAAGACATTGAAATTTAAGAGGATCCCATAGTAGTTTCTATGTGGGTGATCAAGGTCTAACTTCAAATAGAATGTTCTTTCTGGGATACACTAGATTAATAGTGATTAGAATGATGATAAACCTGTTATCACTAGTTTGCTGGCAGATGATAAATAATTTACATCATTATCACAATTAAATAAACTTTCTGCAGAGGCCTTTGTAAATTACAGTGATCTATTATAATGCTAGGTTAAGCAAAGACTCTTCCTCTTACCTCAATGGAAAGCCTGCGATGGGGGGAGAAGTGGCGGGGACCAGATACTAAAGTCTCAGAATTTGTGAGTGATGGGTTTTTTATGTTTACATGGCATAAGTATAGAAAGGCAGTGGCAAATTATCAAAGAAGATAGGGTCTACCTTGGAATTTTATCACCTGAAAGAGGAGTAAGTTTAAATTTCTGACAGGCAACATCCTCTGTGACTAGTTAAAATGAAAGTCATTTTAACTCTTCTGCCTTCATTTCTTTTTGGAAACCCATGTATTTTGAAGTAAAGTTAGACTTGATTAAAAAAAAATGAGAGTTTTTAAATTGCCTTTTAAAAAATACTTTTCTCTTTTTTTTGAGACCGAGTCTTACTCTGTCCTCCAGGCTGGATCTTGGCTCACTGCAACCTCCACCTCCTGGGTTCAAGCAATTCTCCTGCCTCAGCCTCCCAGGTAGCTGGAATTACAGGTGTTCGCCACCACGCCTGGCTAATTTTTTTATATTTTTAGTAGAGACGTGGTTTCGCCATGTTGGCCAGGCTGGTCTTGAACTCCTGACCTCAGGCGATCCACCCGCCTTGGCCTCCCAAAGTGCTGGGATTACAGGTGTCAGCCATCTCACCTGGCCACTTTTATCTTTATTATAAAAGTAAAATAAGGCCAGGTGAGGTAGCTAACACCTGTAAACCTAGCACTTTGGAGGCCAAGACGGGAGGATTGCTTGAGCCCAGGTGTTCAAGACCAGCCTGGGCAATGTAGGGAGACCCCTGTCTCTACAAAAAAATAAAAAATAAAAATTATCCAGGTGTGGTGATGCATGCCTGTGGTTCCAGCTACTGGGTGGGGATGGGGGAATGGGTGCGAGGTAGAAGGATCAATGAGCCTGGGAAGTAGAGGCTGCAGTGAGCTGTGTTCCTGCCAGTCCACTCCAGCCCGGGCAACAGAGCAAGACCCTGTCTCAAAAAATAAAGTAAATAAAATAAAATAAAATAAAATAAAATAAAATGAAAACAGGGTCTTGCACTCTGTCACGGGGGCTAGAGTGCAGGGGCATGATCATGGTTCACTGCAGCCACAACCTCCTGGGCTCAAGCAGTCTTCTTACTTAAGCCTTCAGAGTACCTGGGACCACAGGTGTGAACCACCACACCAGCTAATTTTAAAAAAACCATTTTGTAGAAATGGGGCCTCACTATGTTGCCCAGGTTGGTCTCAAACTTCAGGGCTCAAGTGATCTTTCCACCTCAGCCTCCCAAAGTGCTGGGATTACAGGTGTAAGCCGCCTTACCTGGCTTGGAAATAATTATTAACAGTTTTTCATTGCAAACATTTTTCCTGAGCCCCAACCTCCAGATTTGAACAAGGAGCTTTTGGAGCATAGCCCCATTCTAAATTGGAGTCTATAGGATGAGACTTGGAATTAGGACTAAGCATCTGAAATTTCATGGGTCTAGCTGTTGTTCTTGCTAACCACATTTTTGTGTGTTGCACAAATTTTTCTATCTTCTATACATTTTTGTAGTGTTCTTCTTGTTCCCTTTTTATAATCTTGTTATTCTGGGCCCTCTATTAGTCTTTGCTAAATAGGGAAAAAGGTCCTTGGGCAATTTTTGGTAGAGGAGTGAACTTGAATGTTAATAATGGATTGTCATTTCACAGTTTGGTGGGAGAAGTACTGATGGTGGAGGAGCATAAAACAGAGTTTAACACTCCCTCATTATTTCCTTTAATCAACTCTGTGAATAAACACAAGTCAATATTTAGTATTTTGGGTGGTATGTGAAAAACAAAACAAAAATAGAAAATCTGTGTCGAGGTTGTAGGGAAGTTGAAACTTTCCCTCTGAAGGTTTGAATCCAAGTCGGCTGAAATGAGTTGACAGTCGCCAGATTAACAGGAGAAAAGGTATACAAATTTATTCACGTGCATAAGCATGGGAGCCATACAAAATATGAGACTCAAAGAAAGGCCAACTGAAGTTTTATACCATGCAGAAAGGAATAGAGGGTTAAGGGTATCCTGGGGTTGTGGGGAAGGGGTTGCTGCAGTGTATGAGAGTGAGAGGAGGAAACATGGTGTATTAGTCTGTTCTCACGCCGCTGACAGAGCCATACCTGAGACTGGGTAATCTATAAAGAAAAAGAGGTTTAATGGACTCTCAGTTCCACATGGCTGGGGTGGCCTCACAATCGTGGTAGAAGGCGAAAAGCATGTCTTACGCTGGGGCAGGCAAAGAGAGAATAAGAACCAAGGGAAGAGGGAAACCGCTGAAAACCATCATATCTCATGAGACTTTTTCACTACCACAAGAAACAGTATGGGGGAAACTGGCCCTATGATTCAATTATCTCTCACCAGGTCCCTCCTACAACATGTGGGAATTACGGGAGCTACAATTCAAGATGAGATTTGGGTGGAGACACAGGCAAACATATCCCATGGCCAGCAAGGGCTGGGCCGTCTTGTTATGCAGGAGAAATCTCTCAGTAGATCATTTTACCTGTGGGAAAAGTTTCTCTGTCAGACTTCGAAAAGTGTGTCAAGAGCAGAGTGTGATGGGTCATACCTATAGTCCCAGCCACTGGAGAGGCTGAGTTAGGAAGATCCCTTGAGCCCAGAAGTTTGAGTTCAGCCTGGGCAACATAGATAGACCCCATCTGTATTAAAAAAAAAAATGTCAGAACTTTGGTCTCCTTTTCCTGTGAGGTAATCTTCCTAGATTAGATAAGGCAGATAAGGAGGTCTCAGAAAAAGGTGTTTGCACCTCGCTGTTACTCCACTAATGTAGATTACCTCTGCAGATACAAGTCTCCCCTACCAAAGTACAGCTTTTCAGAGTTATTCTCGTGTCTGCAGCCCCTCTGAGAATAGCTATCTCAAAATATGCCAAAGAAGTATATTTTGGGGTGGTATATTTTGATTTCCTTCAAGGTGCAGCATATATTACTAACATGCTATCAGTAGTTTGCAGAACTTGGGCTACTATTTAGTTTTTAATATTTAACTTTATAAGGGATGCAAAAACCCTAAGTCATCATGGCTGTGCTTAATTGAGCTCCGTGAAAGTGGTTCTCTCCACTCACCTGTTGTCCTGAAATTCTGACTTGAAGATAAAATTATCCTTTTTTAAAAACAGTGAAAAACCTGAGACTCGACAATGTTATAGGCCACTAGATCAAAGTCCATATGTCCACAATCCTCTGCCTGCAATTTTGAAATCTCTACAGCCCTGAATTAAAAAGATTTTTCCCCCTAAATTTATGATACGCTCATTTGGAAGTAAAGCCTATCTTGAACTGATGTGTGGCTATTTATAATCTTTATCATGCTTAGTGTAAATATTTGTTTGTTGTACTATAGATATATTAATATGCTTGGTTGTGGAATTAATATCCTTGGCTACCCTAGACCTCACTGCAGGTGACACAATTTATGTACTGTATGTATGTATATGTGTGTGTGTGTGTGTGTGTGTGTATCCTTTCTAAAATCAATCCTTCCTTCCTTCCTCTCTCTCTCTTGTTTTTTTTTTTTTTTTTTTTTTTTTTGAGACAGGGTCTTGCTTCGTTATCCAGGCTGGAGTTTAGTGGCATGATCATAGTTCACTGTAGCCTCAAACTCCTAGGCTCAAGTAATCCTTCCACCTCAGCCTCCCCAGTAACTAGGAATATAGGCATTTGCCACCTCTCCTGGATGCCACTTCATTCTTTTTTTTTTTTTCCCTTTGAGACAAAGTCTGGCCCTATTACCCAGGCTGGAGTGCAATGGCATGATTCAGCTCACTGCATCCTCTGACTCCTAGGCTGAAACCATCCTCCCACCTCAGCCTCCCAAGTAGCTGGGACTACAGGTGCACACTGCCACACCAGGCTCATTTTTGTATTTTTTGTAGAGATGGGGTTTCACCATGTTGTCCAGGTTGGTCTTGAACTTGTGAGCCCAAGTAATCCTCCTGGCTCGGCCTCCCAAAATGCTGGGATTGCAGGTATGACCCACCACACCCAACCCAAATTGTCTTACCTTTCTAAAATTGTGAAGGCTGGGCACAGTGGCTCATGCCTGTCATCTTAGCATTTTGGGAGGCCAAGGTGAGAGGATCACTTGAGGCCAGGAGTTCAAGGCCAGCCTGGGCAACAGAGTAACACTCCATCTCTACTTTAAAAATAAATAAATAAATAAATAAATAAAATTGTCATTTCCAAAACACATCTGATCCAAAGGTCTTGGGATAAGGGATGTGGACATGTATTTGTAATCTAGTGACCTAGGAATTTACATGCTAGAGATGGTTCAGAAGTCAGCATTACCGCCCTCTGAGGCACTGCTGAGAGGCTTTACAGGGTGACATACTCCTCTGAATTCAGAAAGATCACTGATTTTACACCCAGCCTTTGTGGTTGAGAAAAACCTTTAAGGAAGACTTAAATTAACCAGGTTTATAGTGACTGTGGTACAAATGTACCTTTGGATCCATACCTAGGTTCAAATCCTGTTTCTCTCACTTGCTATCTGTGAGTCTGTGGACAAGTTACTCCAACCTTTCTGTCACTGATTCCTCAGTTATAAAATGAGTATAACATGCCAGGCATGTTGGCTCACGCCTGTAATCCACCACTTTGGGAGGCTGAGGTGGGTGGATCACATGAGGTCAGGAGTTCAAGAACAGCCTGACTAACATGGTGAATCACCGTCTCTACTAAAAATACAAAATTAGCCGGGCTTGGTGGCGCATGCCTTTAATCCCAGCTACTCAGGAGGCTGAGGCAGGAGAATCAGAGGCTACAGTGAGCCGAGATCACACCACTGCACTCCAGCCTGGGCAACAAGAGTGAAACTCTGTCTCAAAAAAATAAATAAATAAAACTAAATAAAATGGGTATGATAAAAGAACCAATATCATAAGATCATTGTGAGAATTAAATAAAATAGTATTTAAAGCACTAGCACAGTGTCTGGCACATAAGTGCTCAGTAAATGATAACAAAAAGCTAAAGTTTATGGAGGTGTTTGACATAGTAATATTCACTAAATGTACACAGTGGTCACCATTATATGAATCAGTATTCCAATTTATTAATTCACAACAAGAAATATAACTTAAGAAGACTCTACATTTAGGCTATCTAACTGATACATTTATTCTCTGAATGCAAACTCTTTGGGATGCCAAATTATAAGCAGCATCAGACCAAAGTTATATGTTATAGGTATTTAGTGGCATTAGATATTGACATCAAGATGCAGTATCTCCATGTTAGAGACATACCTATTACCAGAATGTAACAGGTTTAATCTTTGGGTCAAAAAAACTTCTATCCTTGCCTTCTGATATTAGTTCTGGCCTTCTTTCTCTAGTTCTAAAATACTTAGTATAATGATCTCCAGGCTGTTCCATCTCTTAAAGATGATCTTGTATATATCTCTGTTTTGATATATGTCTCTTTTCTTTAAGGGAAGGCAGCCTTGTTCCCAGGATCTTGGAGAGACCCCCAAAATCACCATTACCTTGTTTACTGATATATTTTTGTATATTGAATCAATAGACATTAAATCTGATGCTCAAAATGAGACCATCTGTAACTGACAGGGAAAGGAGGGAAGGATGAGATAGTTATCTATGATAACTTGAAGGATGAGTGATGGGGAAAATTTCTCCATTATTGTGAGTCTGTGACTACTCAAGAGTTTTTGTTGGTGTAGCTTTCTGGAAGCATAATGACATTTGGGGCTATTGAGTGTCCCAAGGCAGTAACTGGGGAAGGGTCTCTAGTACATTAAATGCTATCAGGATGGCTTTAGGAGTCCGTGCTCTCTTAAATAGAAAGGAGACTACATTCTGGGTGTGGTGGCTCACACCTGTAATCCCAGTACTGCTTGAGGCCAGGAATTTGAGACCAGCCTGAGCAACATAGTGAGACTCTACCTGTATAAAAAAAATTTTTTTTAAAGAAAAGAAAGGCGGGGCACGGTGGCTCATACCTGTAATCCTATCACTTTGAGAGGCTGAGGCAGGCAGATCCCTTGAGTTCAGGAGTTAGTGACCAGCCTGGGCAACATGGTGAAACCCTGTCACTACAAAAAATACAAAAATATTAGCTGGGTGTGGTGGTGTGCCCCTGTAGTGAGCTATGATTGCACCACTGCACTCCAGCCTAGGTGACAGAGTAAGACTCTGTCTCATAAAAATAAAAATAAAAATCTGAACAGATGCAGTGGCTCACACCTGTAATCTTAGCACTTTGGGAGGCCAAGTCCAGAGGATTGCTTGAGGTCAGGAGTTCAAGACCAGACTGGCCAACATAGCAAGAATGCCTTAAAAAAAAAACTACAGGAGTGAGTGAGAGTTGCTGCTATCATTTCCTATTTTGTAACTGTTGTAATTAGTGTATCTTCGTAGAATTTTGTCAAGTACTATTTATTAATTTACTTTTATTGACGTATAATTTTCTTCCAGTAAAAAACACATATTTTAAGTGTATAATTAGTTGAGTCTTTGCATTTATTTACAGCCTTGTCACTAATATCCCAATCAAAATATGAAGCATTGTTATCTTCCTGCAAAATTCCCTCCTGTCCCTTTCCTGTCTGTCCCATGCCCTAGAACCAGCGTCTTGTGATTCCTGTCTTCATGGGTTAGTTTGCCTGTCAAGTTTTCCTCCTGTGTGCCAGTAGTAGATGGTCGAAGGTACAACACTGGCTATGTGTGCAACCTCATATGCACTTGGAAATGAACTAACATGTCTCTCAATGTGGAAACAGTGTTTACATTTATGCGTAAAGGAGAGGAACTGTTGTGACATTTGTCCACGTTCATTGTCCCCAGGTCTTCTACCATCAACATGTTAAATGTTCTTTGCAAAGTACAGTGTAGCAAGGGTAGCATATTGAGTTGGGGTGGTGGGGACAAGGATGAGTCAGAAACTACCTTTGGGAGAAGTGATGAGACATGCACATACGTTATTATCATGTAAGATAGAAATAATAAGTGCCTTAAGAAAAGTAATATGGCATGCTGTATATTAATAAGTTCAGAAGGAGACCTCACTTTTAGCTGTGAGAGATTCATAGCAAGTCAGTGAGTTTATTGCTTGATCTTCAACACAGTGTACTTTAAGCAAAGTAAAATTAACATTCAAATAAATTTAAGTGTCCTCATGTAACAGATTCGGGGAGGCATTCCTAGTTGTTTTTTTTTTTTTTTTTTTTTTTTTTGAGATAGGGTCTCGCTCTGTGGTCCAGGCTGGAGTGCAGTGGCGCAATCAGGGGTCATTGCAGCCTTGACCTCCTGGGCTCAGGCAATCCTCCTGCCTCAGCCCTCCAGTAGCTGGGACTATAGGCACACACCACCATGTCTGGCTAATTTTTATTTTTTTTTAATTTTAGTAAAGAGGAAGTCTCACTATGTTGCCCAGGCTGGTCTCAAATTCCTGAGCTCAAGCAATCCTCCCACTTCAGCCTCCCAAAGTGCTGGGATTATGGCATGAGCCACCATACTTGGCCATTCTTTGCTTTATAAAAGGATTGTAGAATTAATGTAAATGGCAAGGAAATCTTCCTTACTGAATTTTAAATATGTTTGCACAAAACTTTTTCAGACACATTTACTTTGTAAACTCATATTTATATTTCCAATTAAACAGGTTTTTATTGATTGCAGTATATACTGGCACCAAGCTAGATTTTATGAGTTAATTTTTAAACTTAATAAGATGTTTTTAGTACTTAGTATGTGCTAGGAATAAACTGAACTAATCTTCTAAAAGCTTGCAGTCCTGTTGGAGATACAATTAAGTAGTTACAATCAAGATATAATCAAGTAGTTACTTTTGTGCTTTTGATTTAGTGCTTTTTATTAGATATTATTAATCTCTAATTGTTTTATTGTAATAATTTAAAATACAGTTGTAAAAATTTGATTGAAGAGGACTGAAAGTTTACAGAACCGGGGAAAAGGTTTCCCCTGTGTTACTTGGGAGTGTTGAATAGCTTGAATTGGGACTGAATGGGCATATTTTGAGTGAATTATGTTTGTTGGATGAGTAAGATAACTGGGAAAGTGGTCTGGGACCATTCATTGAGCAGACATTTATCTATTAATAATACCTTCCAGGTCCCAGGCATTAATTAGGTTCTGAAAGATAGGGTGGGAATAATAGTAATGTAAAGATAATTTTTTTTTTTTTTTGAAACAGGCTCTCACTCTGATGCCCAGACTGGAGTGCAGTGCATTGTAACCTCTAACTCCTGGGCTAACAGGATCCTTCCACCGCAGCCCCCTGAGTACCTAGGATTACAGGTGTGTGCCACCACACCTGGCTAATTAAAAAAAATTTTTTTTTTTAGAGATGGGTTCTCACTATGTTGCCCAGGCTGGTCTCCAACTCCTGGCCTGAAGTGATCCCCCTGCCTCAGCCTCCAAAATGCTGAAATTACAGGTGTGAGCCACTGTGCGTTGCCATATTAAAGCAGATTTAAGACTGACATTTAGCTAAATAGTTCTTAGTATGTTCTTAAAATTACTTTTTCCTAAGGATTTAAGAAATGGACCAAGCAGGCAGACCGCTGTGTGATTTGAGATTATTATGAGCTATTCTCTTGAGAATGCAGGTCATCTCATTGTTGGTCATTACCTTGCTCTGACTGGGGCCTCTTTTATAAGGGAATTAATCCCATTCATGAGGGCTCTGCCCTTGTGACCTAATCACTTCCCAAAGGCGCACCTCCTAATACCATCATCTTAGGGGTTGGGATTTCAACATATGAACTTTGTGGGGATGTAAACATTCAGTCCATTACAGTATGTATTCCTATAAATACATGTTTCTCACATTAAGTAAGCCATAGAAGGATATTTTCTAGAATAGTTTGTGAAATTAATTTTGGCAAGATAAGTTCTACTTTCTGATAGACTTATGTGACTCTTTCAGAAATTTCTTACCCTGGGAAAATAAAAATTGTTTCTGATTTTATTAATTTACTGATTTCCAGAAGGTTCTTTATTCTATAGCCAGCAAAAAGCTGCTTTTGGTTGCTTAACCCCATCCTAGATTACTTCTAGCAGGGCCTTACAAATGTGTTGATTATATCACCAACTATTTTGATAATGTAACAGTTGGAGGTTAGGATCTGTTTCTCAGCTTCCTGGGAGCACCGGGTCAATGCCGAGATAAATATCTGTTTAGATCTACAGAATAAATTGATTTTCACACTGACAGTATATCGAAGAGAATCTAGATATCCTAAGGTGTTTGCTGCCTAGATCTAGGCACACAGTATTGATTAGAATGTTTGGAATCAGCATTCCTTAGATGTTTCTTTACAGAAAAAGTACTGACTTTTAAAAAAGGTAAGTGTCAAGTGGTTATAAAGATGGTAGCTAGCGTAAAGGCCAAATGTTTTTTTTTCCTTTGAGGCAGGTTTAACAGACTTAGTAACACACTAAAATCTGTGAAGTTTAATTTGTCTTTGGGCAGCCGATTTTAATTTTCTGACCAACATAATCAGAATAAGAATAGAAGCTTCAAATTACTGGCTGTTGAGGCATAGTACATAAAATTGAGGGTTACGTTAATGAAAATTTAAATGGCTAGCTGTACTTACGTGTCTCCGTCCTATCATTTATTCAATATTTTTTGAGTTTCCTCTGTGTAATAGGTCAATATTCTCCTAGAATTTAAGGCTAATAGGGATGATGAAATTAAGTAATTTCAGAATTGTTTAATTACAGATTTATAAAGTACTTGGCAGGCTCTTAATTATTTATCTTTGTTAATTTTATCATGAATGCACACAAGGTATTCTGGATCAGAGACATTTCATAATAATAAATGTATTGGCCTGCTTTTGCCCTAGTCCTTACCCCTAGGATGATGCTATAAAAGCCAGGTCAATTGTCCTGCGTGAGTAGCCAGACACTCTGTAGGTGGGGGACAAGGAAAAATTATTTTTCTCTCCTATGAAGGGGAAATAGGCAACTGTCCCCCTCCCCTCATGAAATGGTCACTTAGGAAAGGTAATAAGCCTAAATCCTAACTCCAACCCTTTGGCATATCTGGAGTTTTATCTCTTTTTACATACAAATATCTAGGGAGATAGCTGTACCCCTTTTCTTAGCACCTTGGAAGCTTGGCCTAGGGAACTGCTCCAGGCTGTAACCTTTCAAACTTCTCTGGGAAATGAGAGAGGGTTTTATTATCCTTCCAGACCAGTTGAAAACAAAAGATCTAATCCTTATGGCATGCAGAAATGTTGCCAGGACCCTAGAGCTTTTTAGAAGAACATTGAGAAATCCATGGACATTTTATGTCTTAGTCTGTTTTCTGTTGCTATAACAGAATACCACAGACTAGATAATTTATAAAGGAAAGAAGTTTATTTTGGCTCATGGTTTTAGCAGCTGGAAGAGCATAGTGTCTTCTTGCTGCTTCATAACATGGTGGAGGGCATCACATGGTGAGAGAGGTAGAGCAAGAGAGGTGAGGGAAATTGCTTTTACGACAAAGTCACTCCATCAATAAAGAGCACACTCCTGTGATAGTGACATTAATCCATCAAGGAGGACAGAGTCCTCATTAATCTATTCATGAGGACGGAGGGATTAGGTTTCTAACACATGAACTTTTGGGGGATACACTCAAGCCCATAGGATTTTATTTTCCCACAGTATTATGGGAAAAAAAGGGTTTTATTATATCCTTGTTAGAAGTGAAGGGTTGGCTATCTGCTCTAGAGGTTCAGGTAAAGCTTCCCTCCTCAGGGAACTGAGGGTAAGTAGGAATTAGCCAGTAAAAAGAGTGAGGGTAGATGAGTAAAGGCACTTCAGGCAATGAGAACAATCCATGTAAAAGTCCTTAGGCAAGAAAGTGATTGGCTGGTTCAGGGAACTGAAAGATGAGTGTGGGTGGGGCCCAGGGATGATGGGGTATTTTGAGGTAGGCTGGAGCCAGGCCAAGCAGGGTCTCTAGAGAGAGCAAATTGATAAATGTGCATTTTATTTTAAGTGCAATGTAGAGCCATGAAGTACTTTTTTTTGCTTGCTTGCTTGTTTTGTTTTTTAATCGAAGAAGTAACCTGATCAGATTCATGTTTTGAAAAGACTCCTGGCTCCTGTGTGGAGAAAGGATTGGAGGAGAGGAAGAAGAGATAGAGAAGAATTAGAAGGTGATACAGGCTGGGTACGGTGGCTCACTCCTGTAGTCTCAGCACTTTGGGAGGCTGAGGTGGGTAGATCGCTTGAGCCCAGGCGTTTGAGGCAGCTTGGGCAACAAGGCGAAACCCCTTCTCTACAAGGAAAAAAAAAATTAGCTGGGTGTGGTGGCACATGCCTGTAGTCCCAGCTACTCTGGAGGCTGAGGTGGGAGGATCACTTGAGCCTAGGAGGCAGAGGTTACAGTGAGCCAAAATTGTGCCACTGCACTCCAGCCTGGGCAACAGAGTGAGACCTTGTCTAAAAAAAAAAAAAAAAAAAAAAAAAAAAGCAGGTGATACAATATTGGGATGTATTGTAGAGGGCTGGATTGGGGTGGTTGATGGTAGAGATGAGGTTAAATGAAAGGTTTTGAGAGTTTGTTTTTCTTTTTCCCTTATGACCTCATGAAAGAAGATTTGAGAGCTTTTATGAGACAGAAATGAGGGGACTTTGATTGATTGGATGGAAGAGAGACAGGATCACGAGTTAGTTTTATACATATTGAGTTTTGTTTTGTTTTGTTTTTGAGACGGAGTCTTGCGCTGTTGCCCAGGCTGGAGTGTAGTGGCGCAATCTCGGCTCACTGCAACCTCTGTCTCCCAGGTTCAAGCAATTCTAGCTGCCTCAGCCTCCCTAGTAGCTGGGATTACAGGCGTGTGCCACCACACCCGGCTAATTTTTGTACTTTTAGTAGAGACAGGGTTTCACCATGTTGGCCAGGCTGGTCTTGAACTCCCGACCTCATGTGATCTGTCCGCCTCAGCCTCCCAAAGTGCTGGGATTATAGAGGTGAGCCACCGCGCCCAGCCCATGTTGAGTTTTAAATGCCTTTGAGAAAGCCAGGTGGAGATGTGCTGAGGGAGAGAGTGGAGAAAATGTGAAATAGCCCTTGCCGAGAATGGGAGAGCAAGTCTACTGATGAATCATTTCCTGCTCTTCCCTCTGCCTGGGACTTTGCCCGCAGATTCTTCACTTTACTCGGTCCTCTAATTCAAATCTCAGTTCTTGTATCAACTCCTTGAAGAGCTTTTTCAAGCTACTTAAGTTAAAATAGAACCTCCTTTCCCAACAATAACTTTCTGATCATCACTGCTCTAATTTAAATGTGTCCCCCAGCATTCATGTGTTGGAAACTTAACTGCAACACTGCAACAGTGTTGGGAAGTGGGGGCTAATGGAAAGTGTTTAGGCAGTCCCCTTGTAAACAGATCAACGCCATCACAAAAAGGGCTCGCTCACTTGTACTCTTTGCCTTTCCACCCTCTGCTCTGCGATAAATAGGGCTCTCACCAGATGCTGGTGCTTGGATCTTGGAATTCCCAGCCCCTTAAAACTTGAGAAAATAAATTTCTGTTATAAATTATGCAGTCTCTGGTATTCTGTTATAGTAGCACAAGATGCACTAAGACAATCACCTTCCTTTATTTTCTTAACACTTATCACCAGCTGAAACTATCTTCTTAACTTGATTTTCTTAGGCAAAATATCTACTCACATCCTTTGCCCATTTTTAAATTGGGTTGTCTTTTTATTGTTGAGTTGTGCGAGTTCTGTATATATTCTCGATACTATACCCCTACCCAGATATATATGATTTGCAAATATTTTCTCTCATTCTTTGGTTTGTCTTTTCACTTTCTTGGTAGTGTTTTTTGTTTGTTTGGTTGGTTTTTTTTTTAAGACAGGGTCTCATTCTGTTGCCCAGGCTATGGTGCAGTGGCATGATTATAGCTCATCATAACCTCAAACTCCTGGGCTCAAGGGATCCTCCTGCCTTAGTGTGATAGTGTTCTTTAAGGACAAATGTTTTTAATTTTGATGATGCCCAGTTTATTAATATTTCTTTTATTGCTTGTGCTTTTGGTATCATGTAACCATTGCTGATTCCAAGGTCACAAAGATTTATACCTACGTTTTTACCTAAGAACTTAATAGTTTTACCCTTTAAATTTAGGTCTTGGATCCATTTTGAGTTAACTTTTTTTTATGGCATAGGGTAGGTATCCAGCTTCATTCTTTTACATATGGTTTAATCATCATTTGTTGGAAAGACTATTCCCTATTGGATAGTCTTGGCACTCTTGTAAAAAAAAATCACTTGATTATGTATGTATGGGTTTATTTCTATACTTGCAATTCTATTCCATTGATCCTATGCATATCCTAATGTCAGTACCACACTGTCTATTATTACTGTGGTTTTGTGTTGCATTTTGGAATTGAGAAGTGTGAGTCCTCCAATGTTGTTCTTTTTTTGAAGTTTGTTCTGGCTATTCTGGGTCCCTTGCAAAACCACTGAATTTTAGCATCAGCTTATCAATTTCTACAACAGAAAAGGGGAGTTAGGATTTTGATAGGTATTATATTGAATCTGTAAATCAATTTAGGGAGTACTGCCATCTTAACAACATTAAGTCTTTCAATCTAAGAGCATGAGGTATCTTTCTATTTATTTAGGTCTTCTTTAATTTCCTTGTGTTGTTTTGTAGTTTTCAGTGTACAAGTCTTATGCTTCTTTTATTAAATTTATTAATAAGTATTTTACCTTTTGATGCTATTATAAATGGAATTGTTTTCTTAGTTATATCTCCAAATTTTTTAAATCTGAAAGTATAGAAATACAATTAATTTTTGTTATTGAATTTCTGTTTGAAACTTTGGTGAGCTCATTTATTAGCTCTAATAGTTTGTTTTTGGTGTGGATTCCTTAGGATTTTCTTTGTTGTTGTTGTTTTTTGTTTTTGAGACGGAGTTTTGCTCCATTGCCCAGGCTGGAGTGCAGTGGCACAATCTCGGCTCACTACAACCTCCTGGGTTCAAGCGATTCTCTAGCCTCAGCCTCCTGAGTAGCTGGGACTACAGGCGCCCACCACTCCCAGCTAATTTTTGTATTTTTAGTAGACATGGGGTTTCACCATGTTGGCCAGGCTGGTCTTGAACTTCTGACCTCAAGTGATCCACCTGTTGCAGCCTCCCAAAGTGCTGGGATTACAGGTGTGATCCATTGCACCCAGCCCCCTAGGATTTTCTATATGGAAGGTTATGTCTTCTTCAAACAGAAATACTTTAAACTCTTCCTTTCTAATCTAGATGCCTTTATTTCCTTTTCTTGCCTGATTTCTCTGGCTAGTACCTCCAGTACAGTGTTGAGCAGGAGTAGCAAGATAAGACATTTTTGTCTTGTTCTTAGGTATAAAGCTTTTAATCTTTCATCATTACATATGCGGTTACCTTGGGCTTTTCATAGATGCCCCTTATTAACTCAAAGAAGTTCCCTTCTGTTTCTAGTTTGTTGAGTGGTTTTTATCATGAAATGGTGTTAGATTTTTTTAAAAGTACGTTTTCTGTGTCTTTTGAGATGATCATGTGATTTTTGTTCTTTATTTTATTAATATGGTATATTATATTGATTGTTTCTTATACGTTGACTCAACCTTGTATTCTTGGGATAAATCCCACTTGGTCATAGTATATAATCCTTTTTATATCTTGCTGGATTTTGTTCGCTAGTATTTTGTTGAGAATTTGTCCATCTATATTAGAAACAGATACTGTTTTTTACGTACGATTTTTTTTCTGGTTTTGGTATTAGAATAATACTAGCTTTATAGAAAAAATTGGAAAGTGTTCGCTCTTCTATATTTTGGAAGAGTTTGTGAAGGTATGTCGTTAATTCTTTAAACATTTTATAGAACTCACCATCTGGGCCTGCGCTTTTCTTTGTGAGAAGTTTTTTGATTACTAATTCAGTCTTTTTACTTATTTTACGTCTATTCAGATTTTCTATTTTTTCTTTAGTCAGTTTTGGCAGTTTATATCTTTCTTGGAATTTATTGGTTTCATCTAATTTGTTGTTCCTTGTATTTCCTTAGAATTTTTTTGTTTTTGTAAGATTGGTAATAATGTTTTTTTTCTTTCATTCCTGATTTTAGTACTTTGAATCCCCTTTTTTTTCCTTGGTCAGTCTAGCTAATGATTTATCAATTTTGTTGATTTTTTAAAGAACCAACTTTTGGCTAGGCACAGTGGCTCGCACCTGTAGTCCCAGCACTTTGGGAGGCTGAGGCAGGTGGATTGCTTGAGCTCAGGAGTAGCCCGAGAACCCCTTCTGAGTAGAACATATCAGTTCGATATTCCCACTTCATGGGGGTAATCCTGTTTTGTCATCCAGCTGAAAAGACAGTAGCATTCATTTCAGAGTGGTCCTTTTTTAAGGTACCGGGCCTTGTAGCTGGAGGCAGAGAGAGTGACAGTTACTGGGCTGTAGACCACATATCTATTTGTGCCAATTTGCTTGAAAAAGGACATTTGTTAGCAGGTTTCAGAACATTGGTAAGATAACACTCAGTAGGAAGATTGCTGGCGTTATGTCAGCTACCTTTCTTTCATTACCAGAAGCTACTAGGATTCATCAGAAATAACCTAATATTTGGTGAATGGCATTGGCTTAGACAGATTTGCTTCAGACCAGGAGGTAGCTGAAGATCACTGGCAGCTGGGACTTTCCTCCTTATCTCTGTGCTTCTCTTGCTGTGTAGGCTTGCTTTCTTCGCATAGAAGGCACAGGACCAGTGGCCTCTGTACCTCACAGCTTCAAGAGCAGATAGGAGGGAGCTCTTCCCTTTGCCCCGGTTGAAAAACTTCCTGGGAGATGACTCTGTCCTGCCCTGTGGGGTAGTGGGTCCTGTGATTGGTCAGCTTCCTTTATCAGAAAAGGCTGTGTCTGGTGAAAGCAGTCACACCAGCTTCCCTATAGCCCCGCATTAAAGCTGAGTGGAGAGAGGGAGGGAGAGGGCCCTGTGCTATTGTGAAAGAGGATAATTTGATGCTATTACAGCTCAGATAAGGTCTGGGAGAATGATTTGCCGGACAGGCATCTCCAACTGTGCAACTCAGCCACATTTTACATATGTAACACTGGGTAACTTACTTGATATCCCTAGTGTCATTTTCATTTTTAATATAGGAATAATTCTTACCATGCAAAGGCTTGTAAGGTTTACTGTATATAAAGTGCCTGTTACATAAGGGGCAGCAATGAGTGAGGATCTGCTGCTTCTGCTATTGTTATTATTAATGTTGCTATTATCCCTTTCTCCAAGTCCTCTTATTTAACGGTGTTATTTTTCTAAAACACACCTTTAAGAATGCTATTGCCCTCTTTGTAAACCTTTAGTAGCTCCCCATTAACTATTGAATAAAGTTAAATTTCCTTAACTACTCCATGTTTTTTTTCAGACCCTTCAGGATCTGGTCCCTGTAATCTTCTTTTCAGCCTCATTTTAAAAAATGTTTAATTTTAATTTTTTTGAAACAGTCACACTGTTTCCCAGGATGGAGTGCAGCAGTGCCATCTCTGCTCACTGCAACCTCCGCCTCCCAGGTTCAAGGGATTCTCCTACTTCAGCCTCCCAAGTAGCTGGGATTACAGGTGTGCACCACCATGCCCAGCTAATTTTTGTATTTTTAGTAGAGATAGGGTTTCACCACGTTAGCCAGGCTGGCCTTGAACTCCTGGCCTCACTCAAGTGATCTGCCCACCTCAGTCTCCCAAAGTGTTGGGATTACAAGCGTGAGCCACTGTTCCTGGCCTTCAGTCTTATCTGTAAGTTCCTGTCTGCACCCTGTGCTCTTGTCTGTACATCTACTCTCCTATGAATAGGAAAGTAAAGTTTTCTACATCTGTGCCTTCGCTGATGTTGTTTCCTTGTCTTGGAATGGCCTTTCCCCCACTACCTTCCCTTTCTTTTTATCAGATTTCTTTTTTCTTTCTTTCTTTTTTAAAGCCCCAGGTTGAAACTTGAAACCTGATCATTTCAGTTTTGCTTCCTTCCCTGATCTTTTTCCTTGACTGGGAGGAGCCTTCTGGAGTCCACAGCACTTATTTTTGCTCTATTACGATTGTTTACATGTTAGTCTTTTTTTTTTTTTTTTTTTTTTACATTTTGCAAGAATCTAAGCCAGTTGTTTTGTAGAATGTCACACATTCTGGATTTGCGTGATTATTTCCTGGTTGTATTTGTTTTAATTATTTTCAGTTATCTCTCTTAGTTTTTTCTTTTTTGTTGTTGTTGAAAAAAGGGTTTTGCTCTGTCACCCAGGCTAGAGTGCAGGGGTGTGGTCATGGCTCACTGCAGCCTTGACCTCCTTGGCTCAAGCAGTCCTCCCACCTCTCAGCCTCCTGAGAGCTGGGACTATAGGTGTGTACCACCACACCTAGCTAATATTTTGTATTTTTTGTAGAGATAGAGTTTCGCCATGTTGCCCAGGCCGACCTCAAACTCCTGGGCCCAAGTGACCCTCTTGCCTTGGACTCCCAAAGTGCTGGATTAGGAAATTAGGAAACGACTAGGATTATAATTGGCCCTCTTAATGTTGTTTAATTTGTAACCCTAATAGTTGTATTACCACTGGGACCTGTCTTGCCTTTTTTCTGTTTACTGTAATTTTATTTAAAAAATTGTGTTATAGTAGAAGAGGATCAAGGATGAATATATTCTTACCTTGTTTGGGTTAATTTTGCATTCTAACCTCATCAGGGATTTTCAAATCTAATTATTATTTTTGTGTATTTCCTTTACACTTGAAGGGAAGATAAGTATAGGGTACAGTAAAAGGGCGACTAAATGCTTAAGGAATGTTTTCATCAACTGTTTTCTTTCACTGTGTTATTAGTAAAGAACTCTTTTCAACTCTGCTTGGTATTGAGAAATTTTTTTCCTAAAATATATGATTCCTGATATTTATAGTTAGAACAAAAAGAATACTCTGTTTAGTATCTCGGTAATCACTTCTGAACATGAATTCTTACGGCTCAAGACTTTGGATGTAGGGCATCTATAGTTTCATGTGGGATAATCATCTTTAAAACATAATCATTCAATATTGGCTTGTTTTGCTGCTTTCTCACACAGGTGGAGTACAGGAAAATACCAGTTGTTCAAGTATTAAGTATTTGTTCAACTTCCATTATTTGAGATGTTACTTTGTTGTATTGCACATGACTAATTTACTCTTAGGAATATTTACTGAATGTAAACATAGCACTTTTGCATAACATAGGCTTTGCTTGGCTCAGTTTAGTAAGAGACACAGAAAGGCTAAGTTACATTTCATCAGTAAATGTTTTTTGAGCACCTGATGTGTACCAGACACTGTTCTGAGGCATAAGTCAGATACAATTCCTACCCCCTAAGGTATGTGTAGTCTTGTGGGTGAAGTAAACCAGCAATTATAACACAGGGTGATGCATGCCACAACAGGGGAACACACAGAAGACTCTGGGAGCCCAGGGTGGAAATCTAAATCAGACAGAGCTAAGGTGCTTGGAATGACAACGAGGCAGAACATTTGGGTCAAGAAAATTCCAAACTGAGGGACATTGGATGAGAAGTCACAGAAGCAAAAAATGTTACCCATTTGGGGAATTGCAGAGGTAAAGCTAAAGCAATACTTCTTGAGGTATGGTCTTCTGTTTGCCTTTGTCATAATTATCTGGGGGCAGCTGGGTGCGGTGACTCACGCCTGTAATCACAGCACTTTGGGAGGCCGAGGTGGGTGGATCACCTGAGGTCAGGAGTTCGAGACCAGCCTGGCCAACATGGTGAAACCCCGTCTCTATCAAAAACACAAAAATTAGCCGAGCATGGTGGCGGGTGCCTGTAATCCCAGCTACTCTGGAGGCTGAGGCAGGAGAATCGCTTGAACCCAGGAGGCGGAGGTTGCAGTGAGCCAAGATTGAGACATTGCACTCCAGCCTGGGCGACAAAGCGGGACTCCATCTCAAAACAAAACAAAAAAAAATAATTATCTGGGAGTGATTCTTAAACCTCCAGGTGATTCTTAGCCTTCTAGGTGGTTCTCTGACTCTCTAAAGTATGAGAAACATTCGTACTTAAGGGAATGAAGAAGGAATGAAAATAATGATGTAATATATGTTACATTAAAGGTATGTGTAAAGTTCTATGATTAGGTTAATTTATATAGACTGTATGACATTTTCATTTAAAATCTGTTTATTTTCCTATCCATAAGTAATTTCTTTTTGGAAGAGAAATTGGCAGAAGGGATGGGTATTACTGTAAATCTTGTCCTTTTATCCCCAGATGATTCTAAAAACAATTTACCAGTCTGTTAATGTTTTATTCATTGAATGCTTTGTTTTTCTTTTAGTCCAAGGACAAAATGATGAGAGGCTCTCGCAGAGGATGTGTTAGACTCAGAGTGAGTATTTATTCATTTTTATGAAAATCAATTTTGACAGAAGAAAATTGTATTCTGATAGAATTATGGAAGTCTAAATTTAGTTTAGCTTCCTTACATAATTGTTGGGGCAGGTATCTAAGTCTCAGAGAGAAAATGTGATTTCTCCAAGTAACTGTTAGTCAGTATCAGAACCAGGACTAGAACTCAGTTATTTTGGCCCATGATTCAATGTTGTATTTATGACTTAATGCATGTTCTGATTTTCTTAAACCTCTACTTTACAGACAAGAGACAAGGGCTGGAAATTAAGTGAGTTATGGTGTTGGTGGTATATCAACAGTAGAAAAAATGGAAAAATCCCAACTGTTAGCTGCCGCTGCTTTGTTTTTCCTGTTCAGCACTATTTAATCATGGTATATATAGCAGTGCTGTCCAGTAGAAATACAATGTTAGCCACATCTATAATTTAAGATTTTCTAGTAAGCCACATTTCAAAAGTAAAAAGAAACAGGCAAAATTAATATTTTATCTAGGTCAGTATATCTGAAATATTGTTATTTTAACATGTGATTAATAAAAAAAAATTAAGATATTTTACAATCTTTCTTTCCATACTAACTATTCAAAATCCAGTGTGTTTTTTACACAAAGGGTACATCTCAATTAGGACTAGCTGTACTTCAGAGAAGGGGATCAATAGCCACATGTGACTAGTGGCTGCCTTATGGTGCAGACCTATAGCTTCATGCTGCTTTCAGTTTCCACCATTGTTCAAATAGGTAAAGGCAAGAAAGAATGCATGGCTAGGGATGCAGTTTCTAGTATCCCATTGTATATGAAGAAAAGTGGCCTCTATCATAACTAGGTTAATCAGCTTCTAGGAACCTTTTCTTCAGGACCCTGTTGACTTCTTTCTTCCACCTTTTTTTCTGCATCCTTACTTTTGAAGATGTGAATATATTTGGTAAACATATTATTGCCCTTGTTAACAGTCCTTGATAGAACTGGGAAATACCGCTGAGAAAGACACCAAATTATAATAGAAAAATCCTGGCACTGAGATAGGAGTAGGTATGGGAGATTTGCAGGATGGAAATGAGACAGGCTTGTTTCAATCAGATGGTATATATGTGATAGCACAAAGATTTTTAAAAATTCAACTTCTAGTTTTTGTTTTTTTTTTTCTAAAATTTTCCTTTGGTTTCTCTTTTGTCTGTTTGGTGTAATTACTTTTCTAAGCACTTGCTGTTGACCTCAGTCACCAGTCAGTCTGGTATTAACTGCTCTTTTGGCTTGAGATAAGTTCAGTAGTGAGACTTTAGCAGAACTGTCTTGACAGAGCACTGCAGTTGAATTCCATTTGGATTTAGGCCACTGTCTCATTGTTACAGTTAATCCACTGGTTTTGTCTGTCTTTATTTTTTTGTTTTTGCTTTTAAATGTAGCTTAATTAATTATTAACCCTTCTAACTACCACCTTAAGAAATAGAATTTTGTCAGCTATACCTGAAGCCTCTCCACGTGCCCCAATTAAATAAATTACATCCCTTATATGTCTCCTAAAGTAATCACTTCTTACATTTGGTTATAACTTTTTTACCCAAATGTGTATCCCTAAGTCCTATAGTTTTCTTACCTATTTGTTTAACTTGATGTCTTTTGTTTACAATTTGTCTGTTGAAGAATCTGGACCGGCTGGGTGCTGGAGCTCACGCCTTTAATCCCAACACTGGGAGACCGAGCGAGGCAGAGGATCATTTGAGCCCAGTAGTTCGAGACCAGCCTGGGAAACATAGTGAGATCCCCATCTCTACAAAAAATTTAAAAAATTAGCTGGATGTGGTGACACATGCCTATAGTCCCAGCTACTTGAGAGACTGAGGCAGGAGGATCACTTGAGCCCAGGAAGTCAAGGCTGTAGTGAGCCATAATTGTGCCACTGCCTTCCAGCCTGGGTGACAGAGTGAGACCCTGAGACCCTATCTGAAAAAAAAGAAAAAAAAAAAAGGAATCCAGACCCTTTGACCTATAAGAATTTTCCATAGTATAGATTTTACTGATTGCACGGTGGTGCAGTTCACTACATTCCTCTGTCCATTGTTTTTGCTGCAAATTGGCAGCTGGATCCAGAGACTGGATCAGACTTAGGTTTGATCCCTTTGGCAAGACTGTAGGTGGTGGTGTGTTCTTTTAGCAGGAAGAACATAGTGTCTAGTTTTTGCCCTTTGTTGATATTAGCAGCTATTGATGTTCAGTACCTACACCCATTAACTCACTGAGGGTTGCAAAATAATGACAGGCTATCATTTTGTTTTAATTTTTATCAGAAATAATTTTATAAGGAGACATTTCATCTATTATTTGGTTACCCAGTGGTGCAGTTAAAATAGGCAAGATGACTGCTTGATTATTTCCTATTATTTACCAAATTTTAAAGGTAATGAATTGGCTTCAAAAACAACCACTTATATATGTGTTTATATGTATATTTCCAAAAGAATTGGAAACAGGGACTGAAACAGATGCTTATATATCCATGTTCATAGGATATATAACATGGATATATAGCATTATTTGCAATATTCATAGCATTATTTGCAATATTCACAGTAGCCAAGAGGTGGAAAGGATCCAAGTGGCCATCCACTGATGAATGGATAAAAAATGTGGTATATAAATACAGTCTATTATTATTATTATTATTATTCAGTCTTATAAAGGAAGGAGATTCTGACACATGCTGCAACATAGATGAACCTTGAGGACACTAGACTAAGTGAAATAAGCCAGTTACAAAAAGACAAAAAGGGTATGATTCCACTTATGTGGGATTCCTAGAGTAGCCAAAATCAGAGACAGAAAGTAGAATGGTGGTTTCCAGGGGTTGGGAGTACGGGAGATGGGGACTTAGTGTTTAATGAGTATGGAGTTTTCAGTTTGGAAAGATGAAAAAGCTCTGGAGATGGATGGTGATGATGGTGATCATCACATCATGAACAATGTGAATGTCCTTTATGCCACTGAACTATACACTTAGAAATGGTTGAAATAATAAATTTCATGTTAGTATGTTTTACCATACACACAAAAACACCCATATATTTCACAGTTTTATAGGTCAGACATCTCTGTTGGGTTTTGTGCTTAAGGTCTCGTATGACTGAAATCAAGGAGTTGGCTGGACTGGGCCCTTATCTGGAGGCTCTGAAGAAGAGTCCTCTTCCAGGCTCATTCAGGGCATTTGCAGAATTCAATTCCTTGTGATTGTAGAACTGAAGCCCTGTTTGTTTTTTGTTTTTTGTTGTTGTTGGCTGTCAGTTGTGTTCTGCTTTCAGCTTCTAGAGGCTGCACGTATTCTTGGTCACGTGGCCTAGACCCCTCCATCTTCATGTCAGCGATGTGCATTGAATCCTTCTGGTGCTCTGAATCTTTCTGACTTCCCATTCGGCTATCAGCTGCAGAAAATGCTCTGCTTTTAAAAGACCTCATGTGATGACATCGGATTAGGTCCACCAAATAATCTCCCTTTTGCCATGTAATGTAACATAATTACTCCTGCGATATCATATTCATGGTTTTCATCCATACTCAAAGGGGAGGAGATTATACAGGGGCAAGGGTCTGTGAGAGTCATTCTTAAAATTCTGCCTACTACACAGCATGACAGAGAAGAACCAAATATACCTGTGTTTGATTCCCATTTTTACCCATTCCTTTGTTGAGTGGAAAAGGGAAGCTATCATAAGCTTCCTGAGCTTTAGTTTCCTCTTCTTTAAGGTGGAGATAATACTCTTCTTGCAGAATTTTGTGACGATTAGGTCCTGGCACATAGATGGAACTTAATAATTAGAAACATGTATGTGTGTGTTTGTCCCTCTGTGTGCACACACGTGCATTTTACTAGGCTTTGTAGTATTTTCCAAAAATTAAACTGCCGAGGCTTTTAGTCAAGAAATATCTTGAGGGTTTGTTTACAATACAGTTACCAAGTCCACCTTCTAGATAGGCTGCTTTAGTGTAGTGTTCTGGAACCTTTATTTTTAAACAGATTATCCAGGTAATTATGTTGTGTAACCAAGAGGGACCACTGGTGTAGAAACAATCAGAGAGACCTGGGGCTGAATTTTACTCAGCTCTTCCCTTACTGACTCTGACATTGGGCACATTTCTTAACTTTTATGAGGATACCGTGATATAACTGGTACGGTTGTAATGAGGCTTAGCAATTATGTATGTATAGGAAACAGTAACTGCTATGGATGACAACGATGATGATGATGATGAATATGGTAGTGATACTGCATCTAGATTCCAAATGAGCTTAATGAGCTATCATTGACTGCACTACTGATCTTGCCCTTGCCCCATCCATCCCATCCTATATTTGAATCACACTATGTTTCTTCCTTTTCCCTCACTGTGCTTCTTCATTCCTCATTGCTTCTGACTTTTTCTTTTTCTTATATCATGGAAGTTCTGCACCCCCTATCTGATGAGCTCATCGCTTAAGAGACTTTTCAAATGTTACCTCATCTGTGAAGCCTTTCTAATCCGCATACTTCTAACAGGTTTAATTCTCCCCTATCCTCTACATTTTTTTTTCCTTCTTCCCCCACTCCTGCTTCTCCTCCCCCTCCTCGCTCTCCCCCCAACTTTTGACAGGATCTTGCTCTTTACCCAGGCTGGAGTGCAATGGTGCGATTATAGCTCACTACATCCCCAAATTCCTGGCCTCAAGCAATCCTCCTGCCTCAACCTGCTGAGTAGCTAGGACTACAGGTGTGCACCACCACACCTGGCTAATTAAAATTTTTTTTTTTTTTAGAGACGAGGTCTCACTGTGTTGCCCAGGCAGTCTTGCTAACTCAGTCTCCTAACTCCCGACCTCAGGCAGTCCTCCTAACCCAGTCTCCCAAAGCATTGGAAATTACAGGCACCAGCGACCATGCCTGGCCTATTTTTTTACATTTGTAATTTAGAGCCATGAAATTACTTGTTACATTGTATTACATGTTAATTTTTCTGTTGTCTCCACTTGGATAATAAGTTCCTATTCAGTGTCACAGTTGCCTGGCACATAATAAATACTCAAAAATGCTTATTGTTAATTTTATGTATTTATGAAAATAATCAGTAAATGTTGGGAAATTTGCCTTTACTATGGTTTGCATACAAAAGAACTGTGGGAGTTATTTATCTTAAACATAATGTGAGCCAGTGGTATGATGTATTTTCTAAAAAGAACAAAGCAAAACACCCACATGAACATAGGGTACATAAAAGGAGAATGGAGAAAGGGACCATAGAGGAAACCCAGATCAGGTGCTGTGCTGGATGATTTTCATACACATTCCTATCATAACCCTGTCAGGTAAATGCTCATATTTCATTTTGCAGATGAGGAGACTGAGACACAAACTACTCTTAGTAACTTATCAAGGTCACATAGGAATGGTGAATCTGAGATTGGACTTGGGTCTTATTTCAAAGCCCTGTTCAATTCTTAATGTTACTAGGCTCCCATTCCTCTGGACTAGAAGAGTGAATTCAGATACTGTAAGTCATTATAAGGTAGTGTCAAACCAGTGGAGGAAAGCAGAAAAGTGAAAAACCTTCTTTGTGTTGGTTATGAAGTGTGTGCCACTAGACGGTGCCCTTTCCTTGATGAAGAAATAAAATGTTGCTTGAGTCCTGTGGTCTGATCCTCTCCCATACTAGTCAAAAACAAAACATTGGCATTTTCAGATAATATCTGGAAAATGGAGACATGACAACATTAAAGAGGCAGTGTGGCCCGGGCTTGGTGGCTCATGCCTGTAATCCCAGCACTTTGGGAGGCTGATTCAGGAGGATCACTTGAGTCCAGGAGTTTGAGACCAGCCTGGGCAACATAATGAGACCTCTTCTCTACAAACAAACAAAAAAAATGAACAAAATTGGCTGGGTGTGGTGGCTTACACCTCTATCCCAGCTACTTGGGAGGCTGAGGTGGGAGGATCACTTGAGTGCAGGAGGTCGAGGCTGCAGTGAGCTGAGATCATACTACTGCACTCCAGCCTGGGTAACAGAGCAAGACCCTGTCTCAAAGAAAAAAAAAAAAAAAGTAGGGTGTAGTGGCAAAAACAAATACAGGGCATGTATGTAATGAAATTCAGACTTGGATTCTGCCACATTCTGGCGTTGTGACTTGAGGCAACTTTTCAGCTCTGAGCCCTATTTCCCATATCTCTGGAATAGACATCATGCCATTTACTCATAGTGTTGTGAGTACCAGATTAGTTAATACATTTTGAAAAGTACTCAAACACGGTGTTTGGAGCTTAATAGGATCTAAATGAATGGTAGTTTTTTTTTTGTAATTCATAATTTCTATTAATACAGATGAATCTCAGATTCTGAAGAATTCTAAAGGGCCTTAGGAATCACCAAAGAAAAATGAATTATATTAAACAAAGTTTTAATGGTAAATTTATTATACATCTTTGAAAACTATTAATCTACATGTGATTTAGAGTGACCCTCTTTTACTCCATCCAGTGAAACTAAGTATTCCATTTACCTGTTGTGCTAGGTATCAGAATTGAATGTGATTTCCTGAGAGATGCATTATCTATTCTCTTTTCTTTTAGTCTACCACAAGAGAGGTCGGTGGTGCACCATGACAGAATATTAATATTTTCAGTAATGACTTCTGTTAGTGCCCTATTTCATTGATACCATCACTTTTTTTTTTCACAATGCAATAAGGTGTTATTTTTAGGTTAATGTATAACCTTAAGAATGTCTTCCTTTTTCCCTTGGATCTGTATCCTGTAAGAACTTTTATCAATTGTCTTGTTATTTCACAGTGAAAAGTCACTCTATTCATTGTGGCTTTTCTCGTTAATTCAGTAGCCTTTTTGTAAGCTCTTTCTCTTCTCTATGAATTTAATATTGAAAATATCCTCCCTTGGGCAAGATGTAAACATCTATTTAATCTCTGTGATTGGTACATAGATGTCATTAGTGCTCTATTTTATGAATGTTTATACTATTTCATAATTACAAATTAAAAATTAAATGAAAAAGAAAGTGATGGAAGAATATATTCCAGGCAAGTGCTAACCATAAGAAAGCTGGGAAACAGAATTAATATCAGACATAGAATACTAAGAAAAGAAATTAAATTGTTATGGAAAAAGAGAATACCAAAGACGCAGTATCACATAGATAACATTCTTTGACAACAATGGAAAAAATTAGAAATCCCTTGATGAAACAGTAGCCACCCACCTCACACACATACTTCTGAATAATTCATTGGTGGAAGTAGAAATGATAATAGAAATTGTGAAATATTTAAGTCTGAACGATAATGAGAAAACCACATGTTAAAACTGCATCTATGGAAGTCTGATTTATAATCTTAAATGAATATATTACAAGACAGATTGAGAATTAATGATCTAAACATTAAAATTTTAAAATTAGGTAAAGAAAAGAAATAGCAAAGGAAATAGAAAGAAGAAAATAACAAAAAGAATACACTAATGAAATGGGAAATAAACAGTAGAGAGCATAAACCAACTGAACTGTGATTCTGTGAAAAAAGTAATAAAATAAACCCTGGTTAGATTGGGAGGAAAAAAACGAAGGCACAAATAAATAATATTAAGAATGAAAAAAAGAAAAGTACGTAATAGTAGAGATGAAAAATTGTCAGGAAGCTACTACAAATACATTTTGCCAATAAATTTGAAAGCTTATATGAAAATGGATAATTTCTCAAAAAAGCATAAATCAACAAAATTAGGCTGTCAAAGAACTTGACAAGGTGATTCTAAAAGTCATTTAAAATTTGGGAAAGGGGAGAGATATTTTTAAAGAATAAGGAGTTGGTGGACTTGCCACTCCAGATATTAAGTTTTTAACTGAAACTATGGTAATTAAAATGGTATGGTGGTGTTATAAGAGACAGAAATAGATTAGCGGAATGGAAGAGAAAGCTGAAAAACAGAACCATTTGGATTTGGGTCTTGGAGAAAGCTGGAAATTTGGTATATGATAGAGCGTTACAAATCAGACATTATCACTTAGTAAATGAAACTGGATCAATTGGGTGTCCATATGAAAAAAAGAAGATTACTCTTTACCCCATGTGATACACAAAAACAAATTTCAGATGTATAAGAGGTATAAAATGAAATTTTAAACTTAGAAAAAAAGCATAGGTGATATCTTTATGATGTCAAGATAGAGCAGAAAGCATAAACCACAATGGCAAATATTTGTGGATTTGACAACATTCAAAATTTAAAACCTTTGAACAAAAAAAGATACCACAGTCAAAGGGAAAAGACAACTCATGGATAGAAGAGAAAATACTTAAAATACATCAGTTGGCAAAGGATTAATATTCTGTGTATATATAAATAACTCCTGCATATTAATAAAGAAGACAAAAAGAAAATCCCCCCAAATGCATACAAATCTGTAAAAAAGACAAAAGAATTCTCAAAATGTAGAAAAGTTACATACTTTCAATTCATGTAAGGGGGAATAAGAAGGTAAAATATTGAATGCAAAAGCAAAGCAAATTGTTTACCACTCTCTTACTGGCATCTAGGCCAGTGCCTAGAAATTCAATAAATACTTGTTGAATCAATGAATGAATGATGCTAAAGTAGGTCCTCCATGCAGCGTCTTCTTTAGTGAGCAGGTTGAACTGCAAGCCATTCTGCTCCCTTCTATATTATTGATTCTGTCACTCCTCTCTAGACTGTATGTTCCTCCAGGGCATAGACATGTTTTGTATCCCTTGGCTGTTACTGTTCTTGGCCCAGAATAGGTATTTAATAAGTTTGTTGAAGTAATTAGTGAATATTGTTTACTGTCACCATGTCCTGTTAAGAACAGGCTTTGGATCAGGGTTTGCAAGACCTAGTATTCTTCTCCCTTTTAGTTGTTGGACTTTTGGCAAACTTAAAAAAAATTTTTTTTAAACCTGAGTCTCAGTTTCTTAATCTCTAAAGAAGAGTAGTGACCTGTTCTGCCTAAATCTCAGGGACCACATTTAAATGCACTATGTGAATGTAAATAGACTTCCAATGTCATTTAAGCAGTGATGAAAAGTATGTGGTTGTAGAGTTATAATGGGAGTAGCTATGCTGTGTATTCTTAGCACTGTCTACATTCCTTTTAGGAGCCTGTGAGCAATCTATGTCTCAGAGGAGTCATCATTCTTTTTTATTATCTTTGGAACCAGTTCACCAGCCTACTTTTCGCAAAGGGAGATTGGCCCCAAAATAGCCAGAATTTTGTTTCTCTTTTTTTACCCCAAGCCGTGAGAGCAAAACTATCTGTCTGTCTTTGGCATCAGAATGATGATTCATGTCTGAAGTATGTCTGTGTGTATAGAAAAAAAACGAAAAGAGAGAAAGTCAGGAAATTCATCCAGTGGGACAAGACTGTGTAGCTCTAGTTTCTTTTTGGTGCCTTGATAGTGTGACCCTGGAGCAACAGGCACCTTGGTGACCTCAAGTACTGATAGAACTTTAAGAAGCTGACCATCTGAAACCTTCAGAAAAAAATCATGAGAGGTCACTGAAAGATGTATATGTTTATTATGTTGGCACAATGGGGGTCATAAAAGTGGAGTTGAAAGAAAAACATTGATATTTTTGTGGGTTAGTATAACAAATAACTTTTCTTAACAACAGAACACCATTTCATATATAGATTATCAAAGGGAGTTTTGCTTTACCAGATATAATCAAAAAAATACTCTAAACCCAGATAAAGGGAGAGGAAGGATGTCTCAGGCAGAGGGAACATGTGCAAAAAATGGTGGTAGGAGAGAAATTGGGGCAATTGGTAAACCTTAAGCTATTTAAGTGTAGAATAGAGAGGTAGGCATGGAGCAAATCACTAAGGGCCTTGTAGGCTAGGCTGTGGCGGAGAGTGACCACATCCCTTAAACCAGAACTGCTTGAGAATGAAAGGGGGATCTATTCATTATTGAGCCAGGACAACAGGAATAATCCAGGATTGTTCCTGGCAAACCAGGTCGTATGGTCACCTTGTGTGAAGGTGAAGAAGAACCATTGGTGTGGTAACATATCCTCCAAGGAATGGAAGGTTAAAATAAATTATAAACTAGAGGATTGGACAGCTGAATAATCTTGACTAAAAGGGAATGAGAGAGGCTGGCCAATTGCTTGGTTAGGACATGGAATTGAAAAGGGCTGTTGTTAAAGAGTATAAAGACTTGAGTCTTGAGTATGTGTAAATGCAGTTGGGAAAAAGAGAGAGAGAGACAGAGAAGAGAAATAGAGACCAGGAAGAGAGAGACAGAAATTGAAAATTGGCAGGGATATGGAGCATGAGTGTGGAAGGACTGGGTTTTCGATAGAAGAATGGATGCCTTTTCCATTATGATAAGTGGAAAGGAAGCATGCTGGGTTTAGATGCAAGTGAGTCTTCAGGTGGGAGGGCACATCAGGAAGGTTTAGAATTTCTACCCGATGGCTGCTTTTGTTGTTGGGAGTCCTAGCCAATGAATAAAGCAATAAAAGACATATAAGGTGTAAGGCTTGGAGTAGAAGTAATAAGACTATTATTCACAGCAACTTAATCGAGCATATGGAAAATCCAAAAGAATCTATAGATATAACTATTAGAATTGAGAATTGAATCTAGCAAGATAAGCAGATACAAAGTCATTATATAAAAATCAACGAATTTTTTTTTTTTTTTTTTTTGAGACAGAGTCTCGCTCTGTCGCCCAGGGTGGAGTGCAGTGGCGTGATCTCGGCTCACTGTAAGCTCCACCTCCCAGGTTCACGCCATTCTCCTGCCTCAGCCTCCTGAGTAGCTAGGACTACAGGCGCCCACCACCAGGCCTGGCTAATTTTTTGTATTTTTAGTAGAGATGGGGTTTCACCGTGTTAGCCAGGATGGTCTTGATCACCTGACCTCATGATCTGCCCGCCTTGGCCTCCCAAAGTACTGGGATTACAGGCATGAGCCACCGCACCTGGCCAATCAGTGATATTTCTGTATACTAACAACTGGCAATCAGAACATGAATTTTTTTAAATGGAGAACATTTATAATAGCATCAAAAAGCATCAAATTTTTAGGAATAAATATTAACAAAAGATGAGTGAGACCTCTACTCAGGAAATGATAAAACATTATTGAAATTTAAAAAGACCTAAATAAATGACAGTCTATTTATTTAGACTGGCAAATCCCAGTTTATTTCTAGTCATTTGAGTCATTATGCTGGCAAGTGTGTGTGTGTGTGTGTGTGTGTGTGTGTAAAACGTGTGTAGCTGACTAAAAATTTATGAAGAGTCAAGAGTATCCATTCCTGATTCCTGCCTTCTCAGCCAACATACAGAACCCAGTAGAAATGGTGATTTGCTTTCCTCTGCCCCTTTGGGGATGGCTGGCTATGACTATGTTCAAGATGTTTATTTATTAAAAAACTTTTTTTAAATTGGAGGATTTACTCCACCTGATATCCAAATGTAAAGCCTTCCAGAAGATAATGTAGGAGAATATTTTCATGGCCTTGGGACTGGGAAAGACTTCTTAAAGGAGACATAGAAAGCAGAACTATAAAATGTAAAGTCAATACACTGTCCTACATTAAAGTTAAGAATTCTTCATCAAAAGATATCATTATGTGAGTGCAAAAGCAGGCAACAGAGTAGAAGTAGATACTTGCTTAATTTATAACCATTGAAGGGCTCATACCCATGATATAGAAAGAACTCCTACAAGTCATTAGAAAAAGATAGTCCAGTCTTGTCAATGGAGAAGAAACTTAAACTATTTCACAAAAGAGGATCTTCAAATGGTCAGAAACCATGAAAACATACTTAACCTTGTCAGTTATTAGGGAAGTGGAAGTTAAAACCATGATGAGATGTCACTACTTACCTGCCAAGAATAACTAAGGTGAAAAACTGTTAGTGAAGTTATTGGAACAGTTGAAACTGTCGTATACCACTGATGGGAGTATAGCTGACACAACCACTTTTGAGGACGATTTGATAGTATCTCCTAAACCTGATATATGCATATCCTGTGACCTAGCAAATTTACTTTCCTAGATTTGTATTTAATATAAATACATGTATAACAAAAGATATGAATAAGAATATTCATAGGAGCTTTATTCTAATAACGTAAAACTGAAAACAACATAAATGTCCATGCACAATGGAATTGATAATTGTGGGTCTATACAGAGGAATGATATATATAGCAATAAAAGTGAACAAACTACTGCTTCATGCAACAATATGGATGAATCTTACAAACATGGTGCATGAAAGAAGCCAGACACAAAGGAAAATAAGTGGTGTGAGTCCATTTGTATACAATTCAAAGACAGGGCCAGGCATGATGACTCCTGCCTGTAATCCCAGCACTTTGAGAGGCTGGGATGGGTGGATCACTTGAGGCCAGGAGTTTGAGACCAGCTTGGCCAACATGGTGAACCCTGTCTCTACAAAAAATATAAAAATTAGCCGGGCGTGTGGTGATGCATGCCTGTAATCCCAGTTACTCAAGAGGCTGAGGCACAAATATCACTTGAGCCTCAGAAGCAGAGGTTGCAGTGAGCTGAGATCATGCCACTGCAGTCCAACCTTGGCAACAGAGTAAGACTCTGTTTCAAAAATAAATAAATAAATAAATAAGTTCAAAGACAGACTAAACTAATTGTTATATTAGAACTAAGGATAGTATTTATCTTTGGAATGGAGGGTTGGGTTAATGATTAGGAAGTGTTACAAGGGGAGCTTTTCTGTTCATTGAGCTGTACACTTGTGATTTGTATATATGTTACATTTCAATGTAGTGTTATTTTCAGATGAGATAGTATATGTAAAATGCTTAGCATAATGCCTCACTCATGAAAATGAGTTCAGTTCAATAGCTGGCAGCATTAACTATTTACTGTGGTTTAGTGCTCTGTGATGATAAGATTCACGGCAGTGTTATCCAACAGACCTTTCTGCAGTGATTAAAATGTTCTGTATTTGTGCTGTTCAGTTTCATAGTCATTAGCCACAAGTGGCTGTTGAACATTTGAAGTATGACTAGTGTGACTAAGGGACTTACTTTATTTATTTATTTAGTTTTTGAGACAGAGTTTCGCTCTTGTTTCCCAGGCTGGAGTGCAATGGGGCAGTCTTGGTTCACGGCAACCTCCAGCTCCCGGCTTCAAGTGATTCTCCTGCCTCAGCCTCCCGAGTAGCTGGGATTACAGGCTTGCACCACCATGCCTGGCTAATTTTGTATTTTTAGTAGAGACGGGGTTTCTCCATGTTGGTCAGACTGGTCTTGAACTCCCGACCTCAGGTGATCTGCCAGCCTTGGCCTCCCAAAGTGGTGGGATTACAGGCATGAGCCACTGCGCCCGGCCTGAGGGACTTATTTTAAATTTTTACTTAACTTTAATTAGAACTTAAATACCCAATATGTGGCTAATGGCTATTGTATTGGACAGTGTGGATGTAGGGTTTTTGTCATAGGAAATGAAGGACTGAAGGAGAATAGCAATGTAGTTCATTTGAGTAATTCAACAAATCAAGACACTGAGAGACCAGAGCATCAGATCAATTGTGCATATATACACTGAAGAATGCTCAGGATCATGACAAGACCTGATTGGAGTAGGAGACTGTTAGCTAGGTTCGAGTCTTCAAAGAAGCCTTCGATTAGAGAGGGGAAAGTGCAAAGGTCCAGAAAGTAATGTTTTTTTCCATATAGACTATCTAAAGTACGCAGCGAGAAATGTTTCTGCAGCAGCAACAGGTGCTCCAGAGAAATGTTTTGTGTATATATATATATTTTTTTAGAGTCTCGCTCTGTCACCCAGGCTGGAGTGCAGTGGTGCGATCTTGGCTCACAGCAATCTCTGCCTTGAAGTGATTCTCCTGCCTCGGCCTCCTGAGTAGCTGGGATTACAGGCATGCGCCACCATGCCTGGCTAATTTTTGTATTTTTAGTAGAGACAGGGTTTCAACATGTTGACCAGGCTGGTCTCAAACCCCTGACCTCAGGTGATCCGCCCGCCTCGGCCTCCCAAAGGGCTAGGATTACAGGTGTGAGCCGCCGCACCCGGCCTCCGGAGAAGTTCTGTACAACAAAACTAAAGTAGTAATGTGGTCATTGGAGATCTGTGAGAGAGAAGTTTGGTGCCGTGAGAGGAAGGAAGCCAGCTTGCAAGAGTGGATGGAAGGTTAAGGTACAGCCAATTTTCAAAAAGCTCCTCTCTGAAAGCAATGTGAGGAGATGTGGTAGCTAGAGGGAGATGTGGGATTTTGCTTTTGTTTAACAAATGGTGAGAAATAGAGCTTGAAGAATGACCTTAAAAAGTGAAATTGCTTGGTGTTTTTAAAAATTTAAAATATTAAAATAATTATTTTAAAAATTTAAGATCCTCAGTCATACTAGTCATATTTCAAATGTTCAGTAGCCACTTGTTGCTAGTGACTATTAAACTGAACAGTACAAATACAGAACATTTTAATCACTGCAGAAAGTTCTGTTGGATAACACTGCCGTCAATCTTGTCATCACAGAGCACTAAACCACAGTGACTAGTTAATGCTGCCAGCTATTGCACTGAACTCATTTTCATGAGTGAGGTATGTGGAAGAAATGTGGAAGCTGAATTCATATGGGGTGTCTGTGAGGTGGGGCAGAAGGAAGCTGGGTGACGATAGTGGAAATGTTGGTTGGGCCAGATTTTGAACAGCCTTGAATGACATTATGAAGTAATGCTGACTTTATCTGTTAGTTCATAGAGAGCCAAGGAAGGTTTTAAACATGTGAGTCTCTAATAAGAGTCTGTGCTTCAGAAATATTACTCCGGCAATAGCAAGGACTGTGAACTAACTGTAAAGTGTCCAGACTGAAGGCAGGCAGATTGTTACCAAACAAGAAACGATGAAAGCCTGAATTACAGAAGTAGCAGAGAGGATGGAGACAAGTTGGTGAACTTAATAGTTGAGAGGTAGAATGAGCACAGCCTGTGGTAATGGAACAAGGGGTAGTTGTACAGACCTGGAGGTTTCTACCAGAGTTGACTAGGTGACTTGTTGAGCTTACATTTGGGTTCTTAATTAAGGAACTCAAGAGAAAGAGCAGGCATTTGAGAGTGGAGTGAGTTGCAATAGCTTTGTTGAGATATAATACATATACTATGCAATTTATCAACTTGGAGTATCCAATTTATGTTTTTAGTATATTCACAGAGTTGTTCAACCATCATCATAGTCAATTTTAGAATGTTTTCATCACCTTGTAAAGAAATCTAGTATACCCATTAGCAGCCATTCCCCATTTCACCCCAACCCTCCCAGCACTAGACAACCACTAATCTACTGTCAGTCTATGAATTTACCTATTCTGGACATTTTTTGTAAGTAGAATCATGTAACATGTGATCCTTAGTGACTAGCTTCTTTCACTTAGCATACTGTTTTCAAGGTTCATCCAGAGAGAGATAACTTTTCGCCCTGTATTATAGTCACCTCTTTGCATGTTTTATCTCCTGTACTGGATATAAGTGCCTTGAAGGCAGGGCATATATTCCAGAGCTGTATATTGCATATATTTTGGTATTTAGTTATGGCTCAGGAAATATTTGATACATCACAAGTTAGAAGGTTAACTCAGTTAATCACAAATTACATTAACCAGAATGAGCTGTTTCTGCACGTGCTTACCCACTGAAGTGTGTCTGTATTTGCTGTCGTGGAATAGCTAGGTTCCATGCCAATGGTGATCTGGTACTGGTTCTGCTGTTAAGGCTTTGTGTGACCTTGGGCAAGTCATTATACTCTCTGGAGACACTTTCCCTATTTGAAAATGGAGATAAAATTTCCTACCCCATCTGACACTGAGGAATAAGTAAAGTAATTCAAGTAGGTGGAATTTGGATAGAGTTGGGGTTCATCCAGATAGCCTCTGGGGAAGAAATGAATAAATGTTTGATCCTATTCCCTAATATTCCTGGTATAGGAGTAGTCCCCCTATGTAGCCTTTTTTCATGGGATTAGGTATTTTGTCCCCTTGAGTCATTTCAACTCCCTTGTCAAGGTCTCTGGTTTTATCAAGGGCACACGGCTTCTCTTATCACCTGAGGCATTTGACCTATTCTGTGTTCTGTAGTCTTTCTCTCTGGAATACTTAAGATACTTTTTTCTTAAGGACATTGAACAATAGATTCCCTATTTTGCTTAGTTTCCTGTCTCTTATCTTAATTCCTGTTGTCTTCACAGAATGCATGTAGTTGAATATTAAGAAAAGGGGGCCAGGTGTGGTGGCGCACTCCTGTAATCCCAGCACTTTGGGAGACTGAGGCAGGCAGATCACTTGAGGTCAGAAGTTCGAGACCAGCCTGGCCAACAAGGTGAAACCCTGTCTGTACTAAAAATACAAAAGTTAGCCGGGTGTGGTGGCACACGCTTGTAATCCCAGCTACTTGGGAGGCTGAGGCAGGAGAATCACTTGAACCTGGGAGGTGGAGGTTGCAGTGAGCCGAGATCGTGCCACTGCACTCCAGCCTGGGTGACAGCCTAGGCAACAGGGTGAGACTCTGTCTCAAAAAATAGTAATAAAAAAGTATTTTTTAAAAGGGTTAAAACCTACCCAGTCCGCCTTCCCAAAACAACTTGTAAATTCAGTTCCCCATTGTGTGTGCCTGCCCACCCCCCAGTTTGGAGAGTTGTTTGTGCTCTTATTTAGAAACATATACTAAGTATGTACTTAAGTGCCATGTATCAAATAAAATAGTCCTTGATTTCTAAGATTTCATAGTGGTTCTGTAGGAAGATGCTGACATATGAACAGATAATCACAGTATACTGTGAAAAGTGCTCTTGGAGGGCAATGTACAAGTGGTTATGGAAGCACTTGGAAGAAGGGGTTGGGACAGTGTTTTGAAGCAAATGTCACCTGGCATTTCTACACTAACAAGTATATACTATCACAGAAGCAGCCTGCTGAAGAGCACCTGCCTTCTTTCAGCCTTACAACAACCTGGTGAGGTGTAGGTTTTTGACTCCCATTTTAGAGAGCATTCTGAAGTTCAGAAAGGCTCAGTGGCTGGCTCTTAAAACACAGATCCTAGATTCAGCTTCTGTGTTTGTCCCTTCCGCCTCCCAGCACATCTATGCCCTTAAGGAAGGCATAGAATGTACCTGTACATGGTACTAGAGTGTCCTGCCAGCTCCTCTCCTTTAGTTCTTTCTCCTTAAGCAAAACTAGAGTCTCAGTTTCCTCTTTTCTGTGTCTAGCCTGCTTCCAGTGTCGTTGGTGCATTGAGTATTCCAGGGCTATAGCAGTAGTGAATATTGCTGATGTCATTGTTTGCCTTATTGGGATTTTGCTCTTTGTTTCACAGGGAGCTGTGATTGGTATAGACGATGAGGACGACAGCACCTTCACAATAACTGTTGATCAGAAAACCTTCCATTTCCAGGGTGAGCTGAAAGAAGAGATTCTTTCTCTTCATAGTCCCATCTGCTTCTTTTCTTCTCTTTTGGGTTGTTTGCTGGATGACTTGAATGGTTTTGCAACTGATCCTGCATGAACGAGTGCATAGGAACATTCTGGATGAAGTGGTACTGCAGGTTAGGCAGGGATTTGTATCTGCAATGGATGTAGATCGATTTGAAACGACTGTGGATCTGGCTGCAGTTGGAGATGAAAATTTTAAAGGATAAAAATCAGTGAAGGGAGAGAGTAATGGGCTGCTGCTGCTGCTGGCTTGTGTTTACAGAAGGTTGCTGATCTTCTTTATCAAGGAGTATGGTTCTGCTTCTGCATGAAGAGTCTAAAGACTGATTGTGAAGGTTGCAGTGTTTGTCTGTGTAAAACTCAAAATATAAATTAAATTGAAGCTTAGTGGCAACCTTTGGCTTAAAGGTTTTGCTCTGCTTCAAGAACTACAAGTTTGCATTCATTTCATCTGTATTTCTGTGTTTTGTTTGCCAGCCATCATTTCTCTGCTATTATCCTTTTTATAGTTAAATGCCATCTGCCACTGCTATGTTTCGGCATTGCATGCTATGGTTCACCGGTAGAAAGGGTAAGGTACTGTATGATCATTCTCATTTCATTTTGCTTTGAAAACTCTAAACCAGCAAATAAAAGTCAATTTTAATGATCTTGTCCTAAGTACCTCTTGTCTATTAGGAGTGACTGTTAGTTTTAGTATTAATGGTTTTGTTATTTTGCCTTTCCAGAGTAATCTCTCTTTTATGTTTCGAGCAGTTCAAGAAACTTAGAAATGAAAAGATTTGGAGAGGTTAGCACTTTCTCTCAACTACAAGTAACAGTGCACTGTTAGAGATGCTAGGTATGCCAAGATAAATAAATATTAAATACATTTATTGCTTAAAAATGTTTTGGTTATGAAGTCTAACAGAGGCCAGATATGTTATATGAGGTGTTTAGGCAGCTGTTGTCTTTTTGTGCTAGGATAGTGAATTGCAGTTATTTTTCTTCATTGTCTTCTTTCAGAAATTGACAGATAGTAATGAAAGATGCAGGTTATATTCAACAAACCTAAACCAGTGTACTCAATAGTGATATCTCTAATGCTTTCTTCCACATAACCTTAAAATATTTACTGTGTTTGATGATATAATTTATTCAGAGCTGCTTTAATAACGATGCTGTCCTGAAATTTTCTACTATATTTAACTTCATAAAACATTTTAAATCCTATTATGAAAGCCCAGAGTTTTTATTTTTAAGTTAAATATGTAATGCTGCCTATAAATCAGCAGGTAATTCCTACACTCTGGAACTCTTTACTTGAATGAAGTTGAATATTTTAATGCATTTCAAGAAAGAGCTGCTGGGTGCAGGTAAGGCTGCAGTATGGAATTCTCTTCTCTGCAGTTACTAAGAAGGAGACACCTCCTTTGGACCCTCAGAAGCTGTACCTCTACCTTCTGATTTACTTTTAAATTATTTATGTCCCCTTTGGCACTCTCATACTTATTTGGCTTATAAAACAAGAAATATTCCTCAGGAAGGATTTAAATGATAAGAGTTATGCACATTTTAAAAATGGATTCATAGTTCTGAAACTGTCAGAATAATTAGTTTATTTTCTATTGTAGTAGTTATGGGAGTTTTAGCATGAGATCTGGATTTTGCAAAGAACTTGGTAAGACTGTATTTTTTTTTCGTTAATGAGAGCTATTTCACATTCATAGGTCCTTGATCATAAAATCCCTGCAAATTTGATACAAAGTTATCAGTGTCTGAGAGATCTTAAATTCTTGATTAGAATTGAAAGCAAATTTTAGCTATATATGTGAACATATCTTTAAATGTGCTGAAGTTTTTATTGAATACACCAGTTTTTTTTTAAGCAAATGAAATATCAGTTGATGCATTATAAAACAAATTCTACTGTCAACTATTAAAGGGAAAGCTAGAGTTTGTTCAGATACATTCATTTATTCATTCAACATCTATTTTAGACATTATTCTGGGGATACAGTGGTATACAAAACAGATAAAATTCCTTGCCCCTTGAGTCATCCATTCCAGGAAAGGAGAAAGGTAATCAACACGATCAACATGATAAGTTAGTAAAATATAAGTAAATGAGAGTGATAAGTCCTGGGGAGAAAAAAATAAAATACGAAAGGAGAAAATGAAATAGAGGTGAGGTTGCAGGGAGAGGGGAAGTGTTGAAATTTTAAATAGGGTAGCTAGGGAAAGACTCACTGAGATGGTGCCTTTTTAGTGAAGAGCTGAAGAAAGTCAGGGAACAAAGTATATGGCTATGTTGGTGGGGGAGGTGGGGTGAATACATCATTTCTTTGCCTGGAATGACGTACCCACCCTGCCTTCCTCCCCAACACAGTCATATACTTTGTTTTGTTTTTCTTTTTGTAGTTTATACTCATATATTTGAAGAACAGCTAGAGGTCAGCTCTGGCTGGAGTGCAGATAACCATGGGTGGAGAGTAATGGAGAATGAAATCTGAGAGGACACAGGAAGTCCAACCATATGAGGCCTTTATAAGGGCATTGAATTTGACTGAGATAAAAGGCCATTAGAAGGTTTTGAGCAGAGGAGTGACATGGTGTGATTTATGTTTTAACAGGATGACTCTGGCCACTGTGTTGGGAGTAAAATTCAGAGGGGCAAGGACAGAAGTAGGGAAACTATTTCTGCAGTAAGAGGCTGTTGTAAACCAGAAGAGAGGTGGTAGTGGCTCCCACATGGTAGCAGTGGAGATGGGGAGATAGTGAGAAGTGGTCGAATTGTGTGCATGTTTAATCACCTTTATTGAGGTGTAATTAACATACAATAAAATGTACACAATATACAGTTAGGCATTTTAATCAGTTTATTTACTCATGACTACCACCACAATCAAGATATAGATTCCATCACTCCAAAAGATTCCTTTATGCTCCTGTCAGTCAGTCCCCAGCCCCAGCCCCCGGCCCCAGGCAACTACTTTTCTGCTTTCTATCATTGTAGAATAGATGTTTTGTTAGGAGAATTTCACATAAATGGAATCATACCATATGTACTCTCTTTTCTGGCTTTATTTTAGCTCAGCATAATGTTTTTAAGATTCATCTATGTTGTTGTATATATTAATAGTTCCTTTTATATTGCTAAGTAATACTTCATTGTATGACAGTATATTTATTCTGAAGGTTGAGCTGTAACATATGACAGAAAGACAAGTCTAGGTTGAGTAACAAGAATGGAGTTGCCATTAACTGAAGTGGAAGATTGCAGGAGGAACTAGTTTTGGGAGGGTGAGGGAAATGTGGGCATCAGAGCTTAGCTTTGGACATGTTTACTAAACAAGTTTTAAATGTCCACCAAATAGGCAAATGGAGATGTCAAGTAGGCAGTTGGAGTTCAGTGGAAAAGTTTGGTCTGCAGAAATAGAGTTGGGAGTCATTGGCACATAGATGGTATTGAAAGCCACAAGAATTTGGGAATAAATGTTGAGAGAAAAGAGGTCCAACTACAGAGCCCTGGGGCACTCAAACATTTATTGAGAGGGCGCAAGATGAGGTAAAACCAGCAAAAGAGATTGAGAAGAAGCAACCAAAAAGGAGGAGGAAAACCAAATGAATGTGGTACTTTGGAAGCCACAAGAAAAGGTGTTTCTAGGAGGAGAGAAGGATCAGCAACTATGTCAAATGCTACTGACAGATCAAATAAGATGAGGATTGAGAAATGATTACAGGATTTAATACTGAGAAGTTTATTGGTAACCTTGAGAAGAGTGATTTTAAGATAGGAGTGGAGACAGTGCATTCAAGTTTTGATGTAAAGGGAAGATGAGAAATATAGCAGTAACCGGAAGGGGAAATGGGAGCAAGGGAGCTTTTGTTTTGTTTTTGTAGGATAAGAGAAATAATAGCATTTCTATGTTGTTGGCAGTGATTCAGTAAACAGGGAAGAATTGATGATGCAAGAGAGAAAGGAGAGAGTTGCTGGATCAGTGTCCTGGAGAAAGCAAGAGAGAATGGGATCTAACACACAGGTGGGAGCAGTGTCTTTGGCTTGGAGCATGGGCAGTTTATTCATAGTGTTATAACATAGCTGTGGTTGTTGATGAGACCTTAAATAGATTAAAGCAGTGATAATAGGGAGGAAAATGGACTAGATTTGAGATTTTAAAAAATCTATAGGAACTGGGGCACAGTGGTATGCACCTGTAGTCCTAGCTATTCAGGAGGCTGAGGCCAGAGGACCACTTGAGCCCAGGAGTTTAAGACTGTAGTGTTCTATGATCACACCTGGTGCATAGCCACTGCACTCCAGCCTGGGCAATATAGTGATGCCCTGTCTCTAAAAAAGTTTTTTTTTTTTTTTTAATCTGTAGGAACTGGTAATTGCTCAGAAATGGGAGGTGAGAGAATTTGGGTACTAAGGGTGATGCTCTTGGCTTGGCTTACTGTTGGATGTTGTCAACTCCTTCCTTCCTTCCTTCCTTCCTCTCCCTCTCTCTTTCTTTCCTTTGTTTTCTTCTTCTTCTTTTTTTTTTTTTTTCAGGGCCTTGCTCTGTCACCCAGGCTGGAGTGTAGTGGCATGATCATGGCTCACTGCAGCCTCGACTTGCTGGACTCAAGTGATCCTCCCACCTTAGCCTCCCAGGTAGCTGGAACTACTAAAAAAATTAGCCTGCACCACCATGGCTGACTAATTTTTTTTTTAATAAAAAATTTTTATTGTAATAGTTATTTTTTGAGTTAAAATTTATATGTGTGTATGTTTAATCAACTTTATTGAGGTATAACTCACTATGTTGCCAGGGCTGGTCTTGAATTCCTGGGCCCAAGCAATCCTCCTGCCTTAGCCTCCCAAATTACTGGGATTTCAGGTGTTAGCCATTGTGCCTCACTGTCAGCATCTGAAATAGAGAATATAGGAGAGCAGAGGTAGTGGTGAGGGACCTCTTATGTTTAAGGTGTCTGTGGGACACATAGATGATGGTAATTGGATCTGAGTCTGGGCTGGAAATGGAGATTTGTGATCGTCAGCATACTGCTGGTAGGTAGAACTAGAAGTTGAAAATATGAATGCCTAACGGCTAGGCAGATAAGTACAGTCAAGTGCTGCATAAGGACATTTAGGTCAACGATGGACCACATATATGATGGTGGTTCTATAAGATTATAATACCATATTTTTACTGTACTTTTTCTATGTTTAGATACACAAATACTTACCATTGTGTTGTAGTTGCCCTCAGTATTGAGTCCAGTAACATACTCTATAGCAGGGCATCAAATCTTTTGCCTTCCCTGGGCCACATTGGAAGAAGAATTGTCTTGGGTCACACATAAAATACACTAACGATAGCTGATGAGCTAAAAAAGAAAATTACAAAAAAACCTCATAATGTTTTAAGAAAGTTTATGTATTTGTATTGGGCTGCATTCAAAGCCATCCTGTGCTACATGCAGCCTGTGGGCAGCAGATTGGACAAGCTTGCAGGTTTATAGCCTAGGAATGA